>NC_000011.10:31575151-31726666 GCF_000001405.40 Homo sapiens
TCAGTAGCCAATTTGATCAAGTGAAAGAAAGGGTATCAGTGATTGAAGAGCAAATGAATGAAATGAAGCGAGAAGAGAAGTTTAGAGAAAAAAGACTAAAAAGAAATGAACAAAGCCTCCAAGAAGTATGGGACTATGTCAAAAGACCAAATCTATGTCTGATTGGTGTACCTGAAAGTGACGGGGAGAATGGAACCAAGTTGGAAAACACTCTGCAGGATATTATCCAGGAGAACTTCCCCAATCTAGCAAGGCAGGCCAACATTCAAATTCAGGAAATACAGAGAACGCCACAAAGATACTCCTCGAGAAGAGCAACTCCAAGACACATAATTGTCAGACTCACCAAAGTTGAAATGAAGGAAAAAATGTTAAGGGCAGCCAGAGAGAAAGGTCGGGTTACCCACAAAGGGAAGCCCATCAGACTAACAGCTGATCTCTCGGCAGACATTCTACAAACCAGAAGAGAGTGGGGGCCAATATTCAACATTCTTAAAGAAAAGAATATTCAACCCAGAATTTCATATCCAGCCAAACTAAGCTTCATAAGTGAAGGAGAAATAAAATCCTTTACAGACAAACAAATGCTGAGAGATTTCGTTACCACCAGGCTTGCCTTACAGGAGCTCGTGAATGAAGCACTAAACATGGAAAGGAACAACCGGTACTAGCCACTGCAAAAACATGCCAAATTGTAAAGACCACCAATGCTAGGAAGAAACTGCATTAACTAACGAGCAAAATAATGAGCTAACATAATAATGACAGGATCAAATTCACACATAACAAAATTAACCTTAAATGTAAATGGACTAAATTCTCCAATTAAAAGACACAGACTGGAAAATTGGATAAAGAGTCAAGACCCATCAGTGTGCTGCATTCAGGAGACCCATCTCACATGCAGAGACACACATAGGCTCAAAATAAAGGGATAGAAGAAGATCTACCAAGCAAATGGAAAACAAAAATAGGCAGGGATTGCAATCCTAGTCTCTGATAAAACAGACTTTAAATCAACAAAGATCAGAAGAGACAAAGAAGGCCATTGCATAACGGTAAAGGTATCAATTCAACAAGAAGAGCTAACTATCCTAAATGTATATGCACCCAATGCAGGAGCACCCAGATTCATAAAGCAAGTCCTTAGAGACCTACAAAGAGACTTAGACTCCCACACAATAATAATGGGAGACTTTAACACCTGACTGTCAACATTAGACAGATCAACAAGACAGAAAGTTAACAAGGATATCCAGGAATTGAACGCAGCTCTGCACCAGGCAGACCTAATAGACATCTACAGAACTCTCCACCCCAAATCAACAGAATATACATTCTTCTCAGCACGACATCACACTTATTCCTAAATTGACCACATAGTTGGAAGTAAAGCACTCCTCAGCAAATGTAAAAGAACATAAATTATAACAAACTGTCTCTCAGACCATAGTGCAATCAAACTAGAATGCAGGATTAAGACACTCACTCAAAACCACTCAACTGTATGGAAACTGAACAACCTGCTCCTGAATGACTACTGGGTACATAACGAAATGAAGGCAGAAATAAGGATGTTCTTTGAAACCAATGAGAACAAAGACACAACATACCAGAATCTCTGGGACACATTTAAAGCAATATATAGAGGGAAATTTATAGCACTAAATGCCCAAAAGAGAAAGAAGGAAAGACCAAAAACTGACACCCTAACATCACAATTAAAAGAACTAGAGAACCAAGAGCAAACACATTCAAAAGCTAGCAGAAGGTAAGAGATAACTAAGATCAGAGCAGAACTGAAGGAGATGGAGACACAAAAAAACTTTTCAAAAAATTAATGAATCCAGGAGCTGGTTTTTTGAAAAGATCAACAAAATTGATAAGCCACTAGCAAGACTAACGAAAAGAAAGAAGAATCAAATAGACACAATAAAAAGATAAAGGGGATATCACCACCGATCCCACAGAAATACAAACTACCATCAGAGAATACTATAAACACCTCTACGCAAATAAACTAGAAAATCTAGAAGAAATGGATAAATTCCTGGACACATACACCCTCCCACGACTAAACGAGGAAGAAGTTGAATCCCTGTATAGACCAATAACAGATTCTGAAATTGAGGCAATAATTAATAACCTACCAACCAAAAAAAGTCCAGGACCCGATGGATTAACAGCCAAATTCTACCAGAGGTACAAAGAGGAGCTGGTACCATTCCTTCTGAAACTATTCCAATCAATAGAAAAAGAGGAAATTCTCCCTAACTCATTTTATGAGGCCAGCATCATCCTGATACCAAAGCCTGGCAGAGACACAACAACAACAACAAAAAAAGATAATTTTAGACCAATATCCCTGATGAACATCTATGCAGAAATCCTCAATAAAATGCTGGCAAACCAAATCCAGCAGCACATCAAAAAGCTTATACACCACGATCAAGTTGTCTTCATCCCTAGGATGCAAGGGTGGTTCAACATACGCGAATCAATAAATGTAATCCATCGTATAAACAGAACCAAAGACAAAAACCACACGATTATATGAATAGATGCAGAAAAGGCCTCTGAAAAAATTCAACAGCTGTTCATGCTAAAAACTCTCAATAAACTAGGTATTGATGGGACGTATCTCAAAATAATAAGCGCTATTTATGACAAACCCACAGCCAACATCATACTGAATGGGCAAAAACTGGAAGCATTCCCTTTGAAAACTGGCACAAGACATGGATGCCCTCTCTCACCACTCCCATTCAACATAGTGTTGGAAGTTCTGGCCAGGGCAGTCAGGCAAGAGAAAGAAATAAAGTGTGTTTAATTAGAAAAAGAGGAAGTCATATTGTCTCTGTTTGCAGATGATGTGATTGTATATTTAGAAAACCCCATCGTCTCAG
Organism: Homo sapiens; assembly: GCF_000001405.40. Taxonomy (NCBI): domain Eukaryota; kingdom Metazoa; phylum Chordata; class Mammalia; order Primates; family Hominidae; genus Homo; species Homo sapiens. Next base: position 31,578,058 of record NC_000011.10, read on the forward strand.
CCCAAAATCTCCTTAAGCTGATAAGCAACTTCAGCAAAGTCTCAGGATACAAAATCAATGTGCAAAAATCACAAGCATTCCTATACACCATTAACAGACAGAGAGCCAAATCATGAGTGAACTCCCATTCACAACTGCTTCAAAGAGAATAAAATACCTAGGAATCCACCTTACAAGGGATGTGAAGGACCTCTTCAAGGAGAACTACAAACCACTGCTCAGCGAAAGAAGAGAATACAAACAAATGGAAGAACATTCCATGCTTATGGTTAGGAAGAATCAACCTTGTGAAAATGACTATACTGCCCAAGGTAATTTATAGATTCAGTGCCATCCCCATCAAGCTACCAATGACTTTCTTCACAAAAGGAGAAAAAACTGCTTTAAAGTTCATATGGAACCAAAAAAGAGCCTGCTTTGCCAAGACAATCCTAAGCCAAAGAACAAAGCTGCGGGCATCGTGCTACCTGACTTCCAACTATACTGCAAGGCTACAGTAACCAAAACAGCATGGTACTGGTACCAAAACAGAGATATAGATCAATGGAACAGAACGGAGCCCTCAGAAATAATACCACACATCTACAGCCATCTGATCTTTGACAAACCTGACAAAAACAAGAAATGGGGAAAGGATTCTCTGTTTAATAAATGGTGCTGGGAAAACTGGCTAGCCACATGTAGAAAGCTGAAACTGGATCCCTTCCTTACACCTTATACAAAAATTAATTCAAGATGGATTAAAGACTTAAATGTTAGACCTAAAACCATTAAAACCCTAGAAGAAAACCTAGGCAATACCATTCAGGACATAGGCATGGGCAAGGACTTCATGACTAAAACACCAAAAGCAATGACAACAAAAGCCAAAATTGACAAATGGGATCTAATTAAACTAAAGAGCTTCTGCACAGCAAAAGAAACTGCCATCAGAGTGAACAGGCCACCTACAGAATGGGAGAAAATTTTTACAATCTACCCATCTGACTAAGGGCTAATATCCAGAATCTACAAAGAGCTTAAACAAATTTACAGAAAAAATCAACCCCATCAAAAAGTGGGCAAAGGATATGGACAGACACCTCTCAAAAGAAGACATTTATGCAGCCAACAGACACATGAAAAAATGCTCGTCATCACTGGCCATCAGAGAAATGCAAATCAAAACCACAATGAGATACCATCTCACACCAGTTAGAATGGCGATCATTAAAAAGTCAGGAAAGAACAGGTGCTGGAGAGGATGTGGAGACACAGGAACACTTTTATACTGTTGGTGGGACTGTAAACTAGTTCAACCATTGTGGAAGACAGTGTGGCGATTCCTCAAGGATCTAGAACTAGAAATACCATTAGACCCAGCCATCCCATTACTGGGTATATACCCAAAGGATTATAAATCATGCTGCTATAAAGACACATGCACACATATGTTTATTGCGGCACTTTTCGCAATAGCAAAGACTGGGAACCAACCCAGATGTCCACCAATGATAGACTGGATTAAGAAAATGAGGCACATATACACTATGGAATACTATGCAGCCCTAAAAAAGGATGAGTTCATGTCCTTTATAGGGACATGGATGAAGCTGGAAACCATCATTCTGAGCAAAGTATCGCAAGGACAAAAAACCAAACACCACAGGTTCTCACTCATAGGTGGGAATTGAACAGTGAGAACACTTGGACACAGAGTGGGGAACATCACACACTGGGGCCTGTCATGGGGTGGGGGGAGGGGTGAGGGATAGCATTAGGAGATATACCTAATGTGAATGACGAGTTAGCGGGTCCAGCACACCAACATGGCACATGTGTACATATGTAACAAACCTGCACATTGTGCACCTGTACCCTAGAACTTAAAGTATAAAAATAAATAAATAAAAATAATATAAAACAACTAGAAAAAAAAAGTCATGTGCTTTTTGTGGTGTTGAATTTTATAGTGAATGCAATATGCCCCTTCACTTTGCAAAAAGAAATATCAAAGTTAATGGATGGAGGTAAGCAGGCTAGAGAGGTTGCTATTTTTTCTGTGTGATTTCTTTCCTGTAGTGTTACAACTCCCGCTTCAGAGAAGGCCTCTTGGGTTGGATATTCATTATCAAATACAGATATTCCAAATGAACTATCTTTGCCCCAAACACCAATTGTTCTTCCAGTCTGATTGGTTTTAGAAGCATACTACTTCATGGAAAAAGAAACATTTGAACCACTTTTCCTTAGAATAAATTTAGTATACTCTTTGAGACTTGATAACTTAATACTGTGAAATAGGAGGTTGTTTTCTAAAGGATCTAATATTAGTAGTAGGTGTTCCTTTTAATATTAATGTAAAAGTAAGTTTGGGGTTGGTGGGTATACATAGACCACTATCAGTTTATTCTTGTGGCATTTATTTGACTTCTTATTTCTGTACTGCCTTTTCCTTCCAATTTTTATGTTTATTACTGTCATTGCACAAAATACAAAGGTTCAGCTCTCATATAATACCATTCACACACCATACACACACACACATTCTCTTGCTGTCTCTCGCACACGCTGTCTCTCTTGCTCTCTCTCTTGCGTTTTCTCCTTCCCTATATAACTTTCTTCTTTTGTTTGTTTTTGAGACAGGGTCTTGCTCTGTCACCCAGGCTGGAGTGCAGTGGCACAGTCTTGGCTCACTGCAGCCCCTGCCTCCAGGACTCAAGAGATCTTCCCACCTCAGCCTCCCAAGTAGCTGAGACTGTAGGTGAGCGCCACCACCCCTGGCTAATTTTCGTATTAATATTTTTTGTAGAGACGGGGTTTTACCATGTTGCCAAGGCTGGTCTATCACTTTCTTTATTTCCCCTTTCAGTATATTTAATTCTTCTTCCCTAGTTAAGTCAGTATTAAGTGTGTACATGATGACAATTTCTTATTCAGTCAAATATTATACTATTTGACAGTCTATATTTCTCCTTTCTGATACATCTATTGTTTTTTCTAGAGGTAACAATTGCCTCATTTTTTATCTATATGAATTACGAATTCATCTCAAAACTTTCCACTAAAGTTTTCAAACTCCTCTTAAATGTATGTAAGTGTGAAACCCTTGAAATCGTCCATACTCCAACTCCAAATGGACAGCTTGCTTCCTAGGTTGTCTACACAGCTGTTATTCTGGCACTTTCCTTTATCATTCTAGCAACTGCCTTGACCTTGCTTCTGTGTAAGATGTCTTGTTTCCTGGATCTCTAGTGTTCATATGTATTAGTTCATCCCTTGTTTTGGTGCTATACATTGTCTAATAACTTGAGAGTGAATGGAGGTAGAAGGGAGGAGTGAGGTGGTAGAGATGTTTTAAATTTTGCATGTCTGATAATGTCTTAATTCCACTCTCAAATTTAACATTAGTGTTGCTGAACATACAATTCTAGATTAAAAATAACTTTGTCTCAGAGCAGTCCATTGTTGCTGTTATAAAGTTTGATGCCATTCATGTTCCTGACGTGTTCACACCCAACCTGAAGAAGCTATTTAGATTTTCTCTGTATTCCTTCTTGTTCTAAAACGTCAGAATTATATGCCTTGTTGTAGGTCTACTTCCATTCAGAGTTTATATACTCAGTAGAATTTTAAAATCTAAAATACCCTATTTCAGGGTGTCAACCTCCTAAACTATTCCTCTAAATGTTTTCTTTTTTCTCTCATGTTCTGTCTTTTTTTTTTTTTTCTTTTTAGACAGTGTCTCGCTCTGTCACCCAGGCTAGAATGCACTGGTGTGATCATGGCTTACTACATCCTCCACCCCCTGGCCTCAAGCAATGCTCCCACTCTGCCTTCCGAGTAGCTGGGACTACAGGCATGCCCCACCATCCCTGGTTAATTCTTTTATTTTTTTGTAGAGAAAGGATCTCACTGTTTTGCCCAGGCTGGTCTTAAATTTCTGGCCTCAGGTGAGCCTTCCGCCTTAGCCTCCCAAAGTGCTGGGATTACAGGTGTGAGCCACCAAACTTGGCCATTTTCTATGTCTTTAGAAAGCCATATAGGATGGTGGTGAAGAGGATGAGCTACAGAGCAAGACTTTCCAAACTCAAGTCCTGGGTCTGCTACTTAATTACTTTGCGACCTTGGACAAGTTAATTAACCTTTGTGTTTCAATGTCTTCATCTATATAAAATGGGTTTAATTCTTAGGATTGATTTGAGGATTAAATATGTTCATTTTCTAAGGTGCTTGGAATAGCACCTGGCAGAAAGCACTTTAAAACATACTAACTATATTTTTTTAAATTAGCATTGCTATCATCATTATTATTGATCTTTTATTCTGAGGGATTTGACCACGTTGATCTGGCAGTTCTGATTATTTTTTTCGCAAATCTGCTATTACATTTTTAATTTCTGCACACTGTTTTTTTCCAGATGTTTTCTTTTTACCAAATTATTATTCTCTTATTTTTTGTGCACACATCTTTTACAATAAATATTACTGTTTATTTTTGAGACTTTTTTTCTGCTCCTGGCATTGTTTTCATTTTCTGCTCATTTGTTTTAGTCCTTGAATTTCATATTAGATGCTTTTCTCAAATACCTAGTGATTCTTCTCTGTCCATTCATATTCAAGAGTGAGGGACTGAAAAACTAATTGTAAGTGCTGTGTGTTTGGGCATGAAACTTATGAACTAGTAGGTTTACTGTGAGCTTATGTAAAATAGCATCTCTCTAAAGGTCTTTTCTCTTAATTTTGCTGGTTTTTCCTGGGAGGAATCCTTTAGTCTCCCCATCTCTTGACTGTTCTGTTAAAGGATGCCTTCTGCCCTTCTGAAAGCCTTAGCAGTGGGAGGCAACTGTGGTGGGGGCGGGGTGGGGGACAGTGGAAGGGAAGAGGAAGTCCTTTCACCCCTCTATATGAAGACTTTCAAGAAATTATCCTATCTTCAAAGTGATGTCTCATCCCTTCCCTCAGCAGTGCTCCAGCTTCTGAGGTTTGTCTTGTTTGAACTTTCCATTTCTCTTGCACAGTTAGTTGGTGGAGGTAGGGGTGGGTAGAATCCTGACTCTTAGGGAAAAGTAAAGGATCTGTAGGTCTTTATGGTTCCTTTAAAAATTTTTCAACCAACCCTTCTGTTTTCACACAACTGTTGTTCTTTGCTTGCTGAAGTTGCTGGTTTGTTTTCTAAGTTGCCAGTTGTTATGATTTGTTAAAGCCATGTATGTGGTAGAATCTGTGATGTTTACTATATTATTCTCTATTCTTTTCTGCATGTTTTCTACATCTCATAGAAAAAAAAATTTGAGATGCAAAGGATGTTTATGTTATAAACCACGTTTGTTGTAGCATTTTTGGATTGCAAACAACCTAAATTTCTAACAGTAGAGAAATGATAAACTCCACAAAAGATTAAAAAGAAAATAATTAGCCAGGTGTGGTGGTGTGCGGCATGTGGTCCCAGCTACTCAGGAGACTGAGGCAAGAGGATTCCTTGAACCCCAGAGTTCAAAGATGTGGTGAGCTATGATTATGCCACTGCACTCCAGCCTGGGCCACACAGCGAGACTCCAACTCAAAAAGTAATAATAATAAAAATAAACTACTGAACTACTGATTTTCATTTTAAACAATTAAGTGTGATGCTTCTTCAAAATTCTGGTTGATATAAGTGAAAAGTGTGTTATTGACAGTTGTAAAACTTCATATAGTAAACAATTTAAAGTGTTAGGTAAATAAATAAATACATTTCCTATTTTCTATTCTAGAACTGACCAACAGAATTTTCTGTGGTGTTGGAAATGTTCTATTCCAGAACTGTGAAATAGAGAAGCTATTAACTACTTTCGACTATTAAGCACTTTGAAATGTGGCTAGTGCAGTTGAGATTAACTTTTTCGTTCATTTAATTTTAATTAATATAAATTTAAATTTTAATAGCTAGAAGCTAGAATGTTGAACAGCATACTTCCAGACCAATGGTTTCATAAATAATGCTGATATGTTTTTATAACTGAGATTAACAAACTAATTTAGATCATAAAATGTTTTAATTGGTATCTAGGATCTTTTCTTAAATGCAGAAAAAGGCAATTGGGAAAAATAAGTTTTAGACAATTGTACATGAAAACAAATAGATTTTGCAAGCTAGATATAAGTTAATTAAATTTAAGTATTTATAATATTTTATTAAAATACTTGTTTACTTTCTCATTTCAGAAATAAAATTAGTTGTTCTCCACCTTGAGGATAGGGCTGTGGGGCAAAGGAAAGGTTGAGAATATCAAAATCTGGAAACCTTTTCCTTTACATTCTACAAGTTTTATTCTGCTCCCACAAGGCAATAAAAAATATTGATATGATTTTATTATTAGCAGTAACATTAATATGATTTTATTGTGATTTATTTATTATATATAAAGGCAGGAAAATAATAGAGAACCAAGAATGTAAGATAACTTTAAAATAATTTATAATTTATAGTTTTTTTGTTTTGTTTTGTTGTTGTTGTTGTTTTGTTTTTGAGACACTTTTGCTTTTGTTGCCCAGGCTGGAGTGCAGTGGCATGATCTCAGGTCACTGCAACCTCCACCCCCGGGTTCAAGCGATTCTCCTGCCTCAGCTGCCCAAGTAGCTGGGATTACACGCACCCGCCATTTTTTGTATTTTTTTGTATTTTTACTAGAGACGGGGTTTCGCCGTGTTGGGCAGGCTGGTCTCAAACTCCTGACCTCAGGTAATATGCCCACCTCGGCTTCCCAAAATACTGGGATTACAGGCATGAGCCACCACGCCCGGCCAATTCGTAGATTTTATTCAGAGGTAGAATGATGACCACCAATGAATATGAGTAAGTAGGCAGTTTTTATATAGTTAAAATGTTCTAAACAGAATGTCCAGTTAGTTCCCTTATGGTACTGTAATGAGTATTTATTCCTCTACTCTTCACATTCAAATTTTTTCTAAAGTATATTTAAGAATTACTACATTTTAGGTATTTTAGGGTAAGATATCAGAGTAACAGATATGGATCATAGGTCTCTCCTACATTATGAAACAAAAAATAATTTTAAATACTCCAAAAAAATCAGTTGTGACAAACAAAACAAGAAAAGTCAAGGTTCAACCTAATGCCATAAATGTATAGAGTTTGTCATCATTTGGTGTGGTTCAAAACTTCACTGTCACATTCAGAAATTAATTAGGATAATCTTAAGAATTAATTAGGGCCAATTGTCTCAAATTTAAACAAATGTTTCACAATGCAACACAGATTTGGAGATAAAATCCAAGACCTAATAATGTACCACCTCCTGAATGGGAACCGAATACTCACTGAGGCAAATGATGTTAACACAGGAACCTACATTTCATGAAATCTCACAAGAGAATAAAGAGCCTGGGTATTATTAAAAAAAAAAAAAAGATTGCACTTAATTTTGCCTAACCTCTTATAACCTGAAGTTACAGAATAATGAGTGACTATCAAAATCTTCATTCGTCAAGCTTTAACTGGAAGAAAAACACATCAATCTGAAAGAAAACGTAACCCAAGAACACAAGGAAATTCCTCCGTAAGAGATTTATAGAGGAATTTAGTAAGAACATGAATTCAAGAAAATAAAATCACAAAGATAAAATGATAAAACATGAGTAGATAAAAAGAATAATTGCATAATTAAAAGTACAAGTTGACTTAACATCATTACCCAGTAAATTAGCAGCAGTAACAGGCTTATGATAGTTGAACTGAAGTTAGAGAAGAGATTAAAACATTAAGTGAGAAGACCAGGCATGATGGCTCATGATTGTAATCCCAGAGCTTTGGGAGGCTGAGGTGGAGGGATTGCTTGATTTCAAGACCAGCCTGGGCAACATAGCAACACCCTGTCTCTACAAAAAATTTAAAAATTAGCCAGGATTGGTGGCATGTGCCTGTAGTCTCAGCTACTCAGGAGGCTGAGGTGGGAGGATCACTTGAGCCCAGGAGTTCAAGGAAAAAGAAAACATTAAATGAGAATATGATTACAATGTGGGAAATTTTTTATTTAATAAATTTAAGTAGATAGTGGCTACTGTATTGGACAGTGCAGGTATAGAACACCTTCAACATCACAGAATGTTCTGTTGGTCAATGATGGTCCCGACTTCTGGGAAAATACTCATCTAACAATAAATTGTTTACTGCGTGAAGTTTTACCACTGTCAAACATATACCTAACATTTATATCAACAAAGATATATTCTATTTTAATATGGAACAGAAAAATAAATGTGAAATACAAAGACAAAGTTTTACTTGGAAATAAGGAAAAGGAGAATCAGCTCAAGAAAGCATCCGTTTTACAGGTGTTGGGGAAGGAATAATATAAAGCAATGGATACACGTATAGCCCATGTAAGTTGTTGAAGGAAGAGTTTTTCAAGAATTCATGCAGAAAAAGCAAGTCATCTACAAGGATGGAAGTCTTCAGACTTCTCTCCAGCATCGGTCTTTGTCCAAAGACAGCAGAGCACTGGCCACCTATTTCTAAGCAAATGAAAGTATTACAAAATATTATATACAACCACAGTGTTACTCTAGTATTTTTAATACCAGTCAAATTTTGTATGTTTTTTGGTTTTTTTTTTTGAGACAGAGTCTTGCTCGCTCTGTCACCCAGGCTGGAGTGCAGTGGCGCAATCTCGGCTCGCTGCAAGCTCCGCCTCCTGGGTTCAACGCCGTTCTCCTGCCTCAGCCTCCCGAGTAGCTGGGACTACAGGCACCGGCCACCACGCCCGGCTAATTTTGTATTTTTAGTAGAGACGGGGTTTCTCCATGTTGGTCAGGCTGGTCTCAATCTCCTGACCTCGTGATCCACTTGCCTCGGCCTCCCAAAGTGCTGGGATTACAGGCGTGAGCCACGGCGACCGGCCAAATATTTTTAAACATGAAGAAACTCCATGATCTCTCTTGAAAAAAATAATCAAAAATATAATCTATCTACCTTGTCAGGGAGAGCTTCCTTTGACTACCCTATTTTAAGTAATGCCTCTCCCCATTACTCTGTATTCTTTCCCTCTGTTTTCTTAGAAGTTCCTATCGCTGCCCTTCTAGAATATAACTTCATGAAAGCAGAGACTTTCTTTACTCTGTTCACTGCTCTATTCTTAGTGCCTTCCTGACTGTTAAGTAAATGCAGTTATCAACTAAGGTAACTCAAGAAAGGTGGACCTGTTTTAAAAGGACCAGTGGTGAATGAATCCATGTTAACAACCTAAACTAAGTAACTCTGTGTCTGGTTACAGACTAGAATGTAAAACGTTATAAACCGTAACAGCACTGAAGTAATAGGGGGGAAAAAAACGAGATTTGAGGGAGAGGAGTTAAGAGAAAGTAAGTGCTAATTTCCTCATGTTTTAGAGAAGGGGAAAAGGAAAGAGAAATTGATTTTGTTGCAAGCTGAAAAGTGTAAAAAGGAGCATACTAATGCCAACTTCTTACTGTGCTCCAAAATCATGTTATTTATCTTAGGGGAGAACATGTTGAGAAATAATCTCTCTTGAACTGAAGAATTGTTGATCAGTTCAATAGTTCTTTAGTTCTTTCCATTTTACTTTATTTTTGTTTTTTTCTATAAAGTGTTAATATTAATTATTGATATTTTATTATGTAATACTATTGTTATGGTAATATTTTTCTAGCATATTTATGGGTAAGTGTAAACTGGAAATGTTGCTTACTTAATGTTACAATGATTGTCCGCAGGGGGTTTTGGCTTTTAAAATTTTTTAGCTTTCTACATTTTTAAAGATAGCTTTAAAAACTAAATATATTTATACCATAGTGTAATTAACACCACCACTGATAATTAACAAAATTATTTTTTTATTCATGTTTTATGTATGCACAAATATTTTTTGTAATAAAAGCAACAGAACATTATAGTTGATAGTTGAAGTCTTTTATTTTCCTTCCTATTCTTCAACTATAATGCAAAATTTGACGTATTTCTTTCCAAACTGTTTATATACTTTTAAAACATATATGTTTCTGTATATGCTTTGTGGATTTTTAAAAATTTGCATAAACTATCATATTGTTTATGTTATACTCCACATGATTTTTTGATTCAACATTATTTTCCAGATCTTTCCATTCTATTTCATATCAATCTTATTCTTTTTAATAATATGTTTATATAACAGTTTAACCATTTCCTATTGATAGATATTTATATTGTTATTAAAATGCTCAATGATGATTCTTTACTTCTTGGGGCATGTGTATGAGGTTTTTTATTCAGGAGTAGTTGGTAGGATATGCACATTTTCAGCTGAAATTTTTCCAAATTGTTCTCCAAAGTGGTTTTTCAGTAGTAAAACTGGTAAACTCCTAACTTCCCACCAGCAGTGAATAAGACTTCCAGTTTCTCTGGTCTCTTAACAACTTTGGTATTTTTAGATGTTTCATTTGTTTGCTTGCCGGTATAATGGGTGGGAAATAGTAACTGGTTTTAAAGCACATTTCCTTGATTACTAATTCTTCTTTGTACTTCTCCGCGTTGTTTGAAATTGTTTTTTTTAAATTATTATTTTTTAAAAATTCCAGGATATATCGGCTGAAAAACTTTTATGTTTTTCAAAATGATGAAATGAACTATAAGTTCAATATTTTGCAGTAAAATAACATATTAAGGTTGGGCACAGTGGCTCACGCCTATAATCCCAACACTTTGGGAGGCTAAGGCGGGCAGATCACTTGAGGTCAGGAGTTCAAGACCAGCCTGGCCAACATGGTAAAATCCGATGTCTACTAAAAATGTAAAAATTAGCTGGGCGTGGTGGCGCACACCAGTCATCCCAGCTGTTCAGGAGGCTGAGGCATGAGAATGGCTTGAGCCCAGGAGGTTGAGGTTGCAGTGAGCCAAGATCACGCCACTGCATGCTAGCCTGGGCAACAGAGTGAGACTCTGTCTCAAAAATAATAATAATAATTAAAAAACAAATAACATATTAAATGGAAAACATGTACCTCACATTATACTGAGAAAGAATTGCAACATAATAGGGATAGAGAAAGATTAGCACATGAAACATAAGGAGCCCAAAGAAAGCTGTGGTATTAATTCCCTTGAGAATAACACAAAATTGGCCCACTAAGATTGTTCCAGGAAGTTTCTGTGGTTCATTTCACTAAGCATCTCTTGAGTATCTTCTTTGTACTTCTTACGGTGCTCATTTTATAACAAGGTCAGAATATATACATTACCATATAGTCCCTACCTGTCAAGAAATTTATAGCCTTTATTGGAAAATGAGATTATACATACATGAAATGTCGAAGAATATCAAGCTGCATATGATCCAGTACCAAAATGTTTGGCACAGATGAAAGTGAAATGGGAATTCAGAAAAGAGAGAGCTATATATAAATATGGACAGTAAAGATCATCTAGTGCCTCTTTTATGTACTCCTTTTTTACTGTACGATAAGTCTCATATATGCATTTGAAGAATAAAGCAAGATTAAATTACAGAACCTTGGATTCTTCACATACCTGAATCTCTTAACATTAGTGCTGTTTCTACTATGTCAAGATCTGGGCAATAGCATAGATATATTTCTGAAAGATTATAAATTGTATATAGATGATACCACATCTATGTGACAAGTTCTATAGTAGTATATTTTATAGAATTTCAACTAATTATATATAGAATTGTCTCCATCAGTTTTGACCTTATCAGAAAGGCCATCCTTTACTAAGTTTATTAAAATGGAGTCTTTGCCTTCTTACTTTGCTCCAGTTCTACACTTGTCCACAAAAAACATCTTTATCAGTGTTAAACTTGGAATCATTATAATTTTTATGATACATTATTATCATGTGACCTATTATTTATTTGTTTGTTTATTGTTTTACTCCATAAATAGAATGAAAGCTTATTATAGAAGCAATATAGCATGGTGGTTAAGAGCACACACTCTGGAATCAGACTACCAACTGGCTTCAGATTCCCAGCTCCATTTTTTACTAGCTCTGTGGCCTTGGACAAGTTACTTAACTTCTTTATGTTTCAGTTTCCCATTATGTATTAAAAGTAATGGCAAAAACCGCAATTATTTTTGCACCAACCTAAAAGGCAATAATAATAGTACCTACCTCATAAGTTTATTATCGAACACTGAATTAACATATCTAAAGCACTTAGAACTGCCCTGAATAGAGCAAGTACTATATATATATATGTACTCTTGTTATTGTTACTAAATTTGTTCACTGCTGTGTCCACAAAAAACTAGACCAGGACTTTGCATATATTGGTACTCAATAATAATTTCAACATAACTGATACTTCAGTCTTATAAAAATATAAGAACCCCTACCTCACACAGTATATAAAAATTCACTTTCAATGTATCAAAGAGCTAAATTTAAGAATTAAAATCCTTAGAAGAAAACATAAGTATAAACCTTCGTGACTTCGAATGAGGCAACAATTTCTTAAATATGACACCAGAAGCACAAGCAGCAAAAGAAAGAAACAGATAAGTTGGGTGTATTCGGCCATTCTCAAATTGTTATAAAGAAATGCCTGGGTAATTTATGAAGAGGTTTAATTGGCTCACAGATCTGCAAGCTGTACAGAAAGCATAGTGGCTTATGCTTCTGAGGATGCCTCAGGAAGCGTCTAATCATAGCAGATGGCAAATTGAGAACAGGCATCTCACATGGGAGGAGCAGGAGCAAGAGAGCAAGCAGGAAGGTAGTTCACACTTTTAAACACCAGAACTCATTATTGCAAGGACAATACCATGGGGTATGATGTTAAACCATTCATGAGCAATCCGCCCCCATAATCTGTTCACCTTCCACCAGGTCCCACCTCCAACAATGGGGATTACACTTCAATATGAGATTTGGATGGAGAATACATCCAAACTGTATCATTGGGCTTCATCAAAATTAAGATCTTTGGTCCATCAATGGACGCTTCCAGTGTCCAAGGAGAAAATATTTGCAAATAATATATTTGATAATGTCTACTATCTAAAATAAATAAAGTAGTCTCACAACTCAACAAAAAGATAAACAGCCCAATTTAAAAATGGGATAAGGGCCAGACACAGTGCTCACGCCTGTAATCCCAGCACTTTAGGAGACCAAGGTGGGTGGATCACAAGGTCAGGAGATTGAAACTATCCTGGCTAACATGGTGAAACCCTGTCTCCACTAAAAATACAAAAAATTAGCCAGGCGTGGTGGTGGGTGCCTGTAGTCCCAGCTACTCAGGAGGCTGAGGCAAGAGAATGGCATGAACCCGAGAGGTGGAGCTTGCAGTGAGCCGAGATGGCACTACTGCACTCCAGCCTGGGTGACAGAGCGAGACTCCATCTCAAAAAAAAAAAAAAAAAGGGGGGGGGGGGGTATAAAACCATGATAGACATATTTCTAAAGAAGAAATACAGATGGCCAACCCAGCACATGAAGTTATGCTCAGTATCATTGTCGTTAGGAAAATGCAAATCCAAACCGCATTGAGATACCACTTCATCCCCACTAGGGTAGCTATTTAAAAATAATAATAATAATAACAACAATTGGTTGCTAAGAATATAGAATAAATGGAACCCACGTACATTGTTGGTCGGAATGTAAAATGGTGCAGCCACTGTAGAAAACATTTTGGCAGTTCCTCAAATAGTTAAAAATGGAATTATCCTGTGACTCGGGAATTCCACATCTAGGTATATACCAAAGACAGTGGAAAACATGTTCACACAAAAGTTTGTGTGTGAATATTTACAGCAGCATTACTCATAATAACTTAAGAATAGAAATGATCCATGTACGTCAGGTGATGAGTAGTTAATGTGGTACATACATACAATGAATAGTATTCGACCATAAAAAAGAATGAAATACTGAAACATGGTGCAACATAGAGGAACATTGAAAACATTACTCTAAATGAAGGAAGCCAGACACAAAAGGTCACGTATTGTATGGTTCCATTTATAGGAAATGTCCAGAACGACTAATCCATAAAGACAAGATTAGTGGTTGCCAGGGGCAGGAGAGAAGGGGAATGTGGAGTGATTTCTAAATGGGTGTGCAGTTTTTTGGGGGACTGATGAAGGTAGATAGTGGTGATGGTTACACAACTCTGAATTATTAAAAATTACCAAATTTTTTACTTAAAATGTTGTTTTTATGTTATGTCAATTTTATTTCACTTTAAAAAATATATAAAGAGTTGGGAGTGGTGGCTCACGCCTGTAATCCAGCACTTTGGGAGGCCGAGGCAGGCAGATTGCTTTAGCTCAGGAGTTCAACACCAGCCTGGGCAACATAGTGAAATCTGGACTACAAAAAATGCAAAAATTAGCCAAGCATGGTGGCATGTGCCTGTAGTCCCATCTACTCAGGAGGCTGAGGTGGGAGGATCACTTGAGCCCAGGAGGTGTGTGTGTGTATATATATATGTGTGTATATATGTGTATATAATATATATATGTATGTATATATAATAAATCTTATAACCTATATATGTATATATAAGAAACCTTATATATGTATATGTATATATAAGAAACCTTATATCCTTTACATAGGCATTAATTGATAAAGTGTATTTTCTGTACATCTTTTGAAAATGAGTGCCTTATCAGTATTAAACTTGGAATCATTATAATTTTCATGATACATTAAAAGTTTTTAACATGGTAAAACGTCTATTATGGGAATAGATACATATTTAATAACTTAAATGAGGAAATGCTTACCTATATTTTATAGTCTCATCTTGTTTAGATAAGTTAAACATATTAATGAATCTCTAGTATTTTAGGGTTATTTCTCTAATATTGTACACATTAATGTAAGAGCATTTCTTAGAATTGGCCTATTTTCCACAATAAGAGGACAGTGTGATATAAGTTATTTTTCAAATGTTTTTATTATTAAGTTGTGAGTAACCATTGTTACAACTATTGCCAGGTGTCCCTGGGGTTGAAAAAGATGTTAAACCAAATACATTATACTAAATTTGTTGCCCAATATTGACAATACAAAATGTGTGGCTCTGAGGACAATTGTTTGACTGACTTCTCACAATCTAACATTTGTAGGATTCCTAACATGTAGCAAACATCATTCTCTGTATTTTACATTTTTAACTTATTTACTCCTTACAACAACCCATTGAAGTGAATAATACTGTTGTTGTTGTTGTTGTTGTTGTTGTTGTTGTTGTTGTTGTTAAGACAGGGTTTCACTTTGTCACCCAGGCTGGAGTGCAGTGGCATGATCTTGGCTCACTTTAGCCTCAACCTCCTGGGCTCAAGCGATCCTCCCCTAAGTAGTTGGCACTACAGCCATGTGCCACCACACCCAGCTAATCTTTTTGTATTTTTTGTAGAGATGGAGTTTTGTCATGTTGCCCAAACTGGTCTCAAACTCCTGAACTCAAGTGATCCCCCCCTACCTTGGCCTCCCAAAGCGCTAGGATTATAGGTGTGAGACACTGCACGCAGCCTGAAGTAAATACTATTACCTCCATTTTTTAGATGATGAATGGAGACATAGAGAGGTCCTGTGGTAACACAGACACAGCTACTAGTGCAAAGTCAAGATTTGAACTGGACATTCTAGTTGCCGAATTCAAACTCATAACCACTATGCTGTATTACACTATACTCTCACAAATACGTATTTCCACTGGAAAATGAAGTTACTTTATACTGTAAGATACTAATGCTTAGCTAGGAATGATGGATTCACAGCTTAAATGATATAACTAGTTTCTAAGACTAGCATTAATTAAAATGTGAATTCACTTTGAGGTCTTTTAGAAGGTGAGTAAAATATATCATATTAACAGTTAATGTGTTTTGAGCTGATTTGTCGACATGATTCTAAGCATAAGTAAATTTGATCTTGAAAAGTAGAAGTTGCAATTTAGACTAATATATAACATAGCACACGTTATATTTACTAATCCAATGCCCTACATTATCTTTATGATTCTAATAGAAAATAAAACAAAATTATTGTATGTGCTTTCCTTCTTCAAGAAACTTAAATACAGTTTTCTTTGAATTCTTTCTATAGTACCGCTTAACAAACATGTTTTCTAGTTTTTTATGTATTTTATGGTTATGAAGTTGGTCACCTTCCAAAATTAATAAATTGTAACTTACTGTCTCTTCATTTAATCAGAGATTATTGTTAAAGAAGAGACATAAGCTTGCAGGTGCAAAGCTAGCATTTGATGTAGGTAAAATAAATGTCATTATTCTTAGTTGTTACTTCACTCGTTATTTTAGTGAATTGCTTTTTTGAATTCTAAAATTACAAACCAATAAGCAGATTGTGCAAATGTTTTATTTTTACCTTGTGGCCAACATAATAATAATTATATGGAATACATAAGTACTAATTCCAGACTTTGCTTTAAGCAGATACGTTTTGAGAATTGAGTATAACCTCTTGTTAGAATGGCAATTGATTTTTGTGAGTATAGAAATTTGGATATTTTCTTTAAATTCCAGTTTATTGCTAAAAAGTTAAACTTAAATGTTTGTATTATACTTGTTTTCTCTGTTTTAGAAATGTCTATTTTTATGAATTTGTATTTAAATCAATGTTAGTCATGAATTTTCAATACATTGGAAATTTCTAGTGTTGCTAATATTATGGTTTAAGAAAATTGTCATATTTTACCACAGAATCTCAATTATGTGTCATTTTGTTTTCTTAGGAACTTCCAGCACCATTACTTGATGATAAATGTAAAAAGGAATTTGATGAAGATGTATACAATCATAAAACACCAGAATCTAATATTAAGATGAAAATAGCTTGGCGTTACCAGTTATTACCCAAGATGGAGGCAAGTAAACATACAAATTCTTTCCAAAATTTGCAAATGCATTTGTTTTCATCTTACAGAATCTCTTGTGGTATGCCTATATGTGTATTTGTTTATTTAAAGAATTAGCTGTTTCATTTGTAGAGTATTTGGTCAAGATGATCTATTTCTTACAAATAAAATCTATGGTAACTTGTTTTTTACCAAAATAGGTTGTTTCATTTCTTCCATAATGCCCATATAGAATGCTTTATTCTAGAGTTGCAAGACAGAGTAAGTGAACTAATGAAGCCATTTCTATCCAGTATGTTTACCTATAAATATTCAATGTAAGTGATGGTTCTTTGGAATTACTATTTTTATCCTTATACATTTTCAATCATTACATTTTCAAACTCATCTATCTGGTAATGTCATCTATTCAGAACAGACAGAATAGGTAAGAAATGAAGGAAAAATTTCTGAGAAGTCAGAACAAATGCCAATAAATCTGTCCAGTAAAACTCATGAACTCTATTCCTGGTGATGGCATGGTTCATTTATTAGCTCCCTTATTTGATTGTTCACTTCATTCACTTTTCAGACTACATTATTTAACATCTATCAGATATTAGCATACTAGTAGAAAAGAAAGGAATATTCTAATCTGAATAAGACATAGTTTCCTTTGTCCATCCTTCTCTAGTCTTCCACATTGACATCAGTGTTATCTTTCCCAAGGATAGAAATATGTGTATGATACCTTTAACTTCAAATGCCTCATTTGGTTTCCTGTTTTCACTACCCCCTTCTAAATAAATAGCAGACTGTAGTACCCTCTAATACTATGCTGCCAAACTCAGACACAGCCTTAGAATTCTTCTCTACAGGAATGTTCTGGGTAGCCGCTACCACTAATGAAAGTTAGTATATGGGATCAAACCTGTTTGATATTATAAGCTCGCAATATGAAATACAAATTTAAGATTGTATGTATACAAAATCTGTATAATCTAATCCAAGCCTACCTTTTTAGCCTCTTCCTCCTGTGTATATAAAACACTACATTCAACTATCTTTTGAGAATTGCTTCTTATAAATTGCTTGTATTTCTTTTAGTAATGCTTTTTTCACTTTCTTACTCACCAATGCATCCTTCTCCAAGTTCAAATGTTACTACCTCTTATGGCTTTCCATACTAATTTTCTGCTTTCCTTTTTCTCCCTGTAGCACTTCATATATTTTAAAATACATCTTTCTCTGGGTTGGGTGCAGTGGCTCACGCCTGTAATCCCAGCACTTTGGGAGGCCGAGGCGGGTGGATCACAAGGTCAGGAGTTCAAGACCAGCCTAGCCAAGATGGTGAAACCCCGTCTCTACTAAAAATACACAAAAATTAGCTGGGCGTGGTGGCGGGCGCCTGTAATACCAGCTACTCAGAAGGCTGAGGCAGAGAATTGCTTGAACCTGGGAGGTGGAGGTTGCCATGAGCTGAGATCGTGCCACTGCACTCCAGCCTGGGCGACAGAGCAGGACTCCGTCTCAAAAAACATGTATATATACATCTTTCTCATTGTTTTATACTTAATTGGTAGTGTAACTCTCTCCTCCACCACACAGAAAATTTTCTGTGAGGCAGAGAGCTTGTTTTATTTTCTCTTGTACCTCCAGCACTTATGCTAATGCTCTTTTAATCAATAATAATGATAAATGTATTTATTCATTCAGTCAGCAAATACTAAGTATCATCTGTGTACCAGATATAAAACATGTTATAATAGATGCATATTAAGCAATGACATATTGTTCTAATTTGTGTGGAAACTATTTGAATAATATTTTTAAGCTGTGATTTAAATGACTGTGAACAAACTACAAATTTAAGAGAGAATATTTACAACTCAAATTATAAAATAAGGACAAATTTTCCTTATATACAAATAACTTAAAATGAAAAAGGAAAATTCTACAACTGATTTTTTTTAATGGGCAGAAATATGAAAAGGAAATGTAAGTGACTCTTAAACATACAAAACATATGCCCAATTTCAGTTTTAATGAGAGAAATTCAAATGAAAACTACACTGTCCTGCTATTTTTCTCTTATCAAATTGACAATGATCTAACTTGGTAAGACACTGTATTAGCTAGGATGGGGGAAGCTGATACTCATACTTTGCTGGTGAAAATGTAAAAAGGTACAACTTCTGTAGAAAGTATTTTGGTAGTAACCTTCACGATTACAAAAACATATATTCTTTGATTCTTTTGGATATTTACATCATGAATATATTTACTCAAATGTAAAAGTAAATACACATGAGCTATTCATACAGCAGATTTTTTTAACAGCAAGAGATTGAAAATAGCCTAAATGTCTATCAGTAAGCAACTAGCTAAATAAATTATGGTATGTCTGAACAGTAAAATACTATACATTTGTTTTAAAAAATAGAAGGAAGCTCTGTGTAATCAGAAGTTGTTACAGATATAGCCTAGCTTGGATGTGAACGAGAACTGGGTGCAAGAGGCCAGAATAGAGGTTAGTCTGTCTAGAAAAATATGAGTTAAGTGATAGAAATCAAAACAGACTAGAAATATAGGACTAGCACTTGAGAACCCTAATGGCAAAGAACTTCACGTCTTTGATTCTGGCAGATTCATTCAAGTGACTGGCCTTAATGGTGACTGTATTCTAATTTTTCTATTGCTGTGTCCTGAAAGAGTCAGTAATGAACCTAAACTCTAAGTTTAGAGGCTGGAGTACAGTGGAGCGATCTCAGCTCACTGCAACCTCCGCCTCCCAGGTTCAAGTGATTCTCCTGCCTCAGCCTCCCGAGTAGCTGGGACTATAGTTGCCCACCACCACGCCAGGCTAGCTTTTGTATTTTTCGTAGAGATGGCGTTTCATCATGTTGGCTGGTCTCGAACTCCTGACCTCAGGTGATCTGCCTGCCTTGGCCTCCCAAAGTGCTGGGATTCCAGGTGTGAGCCACTGCACCCAGCTGATTTTGGTCTTTTCATTGGTAATTAGCATTCTCAAGTGAAATGGTTGTCAAAAATGCAAGTAACTAAAGCTTTAAGCCTTTTCTCTTTTTTTTTTTTTTTTTTTTTGAGATGGAGTCTTGCTCTGTCACCCAGGCTGGAGTACAGTGGCACGATCTCAGCTCACCGCAACCTCCGCCTCCCGGGTTCAAGCGATTCTCCTGCCTCAGCGTGCCAAGTAGCTGGGATTACAGATGCACACCACCACACCCAGATAATTTTTGTATTTTTAATAGAGATGGGGTTTCACTGTGTTGGCAAGGCTGGTCTTGAACTCCTGACCTCGTGATCCGCCGACCTCGGCCTCCGAAAGTGTTGGGATTACAGGTGTGAGCCACCGCACCTGGCCAGCCTTTTCTTTTATTGCTTATTATGAAAGCTATATAGAGTTGGGGTAAAAATTATTTGTTTCTCTAAAAATACATTGTTTTTTATAAATTCGAATCATAGATACTATCCTTGCCCCAGTGAGTAGTGCTAATTTTGTTCTTCCTTTTAGAGTCTGGTGTACCTGCCATTGGCTTTGTTACCTATTAATTAAGGTTGCATATTAACAAATAAACTTAGTACACTTTTCCTTTTTTTTTCTTTTCTTCTTCTTTTTTTTTTTTTTTTTTTTTTGAGATAGGATCTTGCTCTGTCGCCCAGGCTACAGTGCAGTGGCACAATTATGTCTCACTGCAACCTTGACCTCCCAGGTTCAGGTGACCTTCCCACCTCAGCCTCACAAATATGAGACCACAAGTGCATGCCACAGCACCCAGCTTATTGTTTAATATTTTTGTAGAGATAGGGTCTCACTATGTTGCCCAGGCTGGTCTCAAACTCCTGGCTTCAAGCAAGCAATCCTCTCACCTTGGCCTCCTGAAGTGCTGGGATTACAAGCATGAGCCACTGAACCCGGCCCTGGTGCTCAGTTTTCAAGGTTTAAAGCTTGAATGTTTTGAAAATTGTTCTCTTCTTATGATGAACTTGTCCAGATTATTTATTTTTTCATTTTCTTAGGTCTCTACTAAAAGATTACTTTACCAGAAGTGACTGCCTTTGTCGCTGTAAATGAGATAAAACCACTCTGTATCATCTTCTTTCACAGCTTTACTTTTCTTAAAGGCACTTATCATTAAATGATAATATATATCTAATTTATTATTATCATCTATCTCCTACTAGAATGTGAGCTCAATGAGAGAAAGGGACTTTGACTGTTTTGTTTTACTGACATTTAGTAGGTGCTCAGTAATTATTTGTTGGATGCATGAAGGAATGAATAGTATGTAGATTAAATATTAAACTGAGCTAAGACACATTAATCAATACAGACAAAATGATAGCTTATTTTGAATATGCAGTCAATGATCATGCTTATGTTTACTTGTATTTACAGTGAGTTGTATCCAATTTAGAAAATAGAACCACCTTCTGACTTCTTTGCTTTTCTTTGAAATGTCACTAGCATGTATATTTGCCTGTTAAGGTAATTTTATATGTAATGATTTGCCAAGACTGATAGGCTTTGATGATCACTCGTCATTATCTGCTTTATAAATCTAGGCTTTACTTTGCCTTTCTCATTTTAATACACACACACACACACACACACACACACACACACACACACAAAAAAAAAAAACCTGGCTGTATTAGTTCATTCTCACTGAGACTGGGTCATTTACAAACAAAAGAGGTTTAATTGTCTCACAGTTTCACATACCTGTGGAGGCCTCGGGAAACTTACAATCATGGCAGAAGGTGAAGGGGAAGCAAGGCACATCTTACATGGCAGCAGGAGAGAAAGCACAGGGGAAACTGCCACTTTTAAACCATCAGATCTCCTGAGAACTCCCTCACTATCAGGAGAACAGCATGGGGGAAACCACCCCCATGATCCAATCACTTCTCACCAGGATCCTTCCTCGACATGTGGGGATTACAATTTGAGTTGAGATTTGGGTGGGGACACAGAACCAAACCATATCACTGGGTTTTCTGAGATCAGATGAGATTGGGCACATTCAGGGTGGTTTGGCCGTAGACTTCACTGTGTTTTCTTTATTTTACTTGGGACAAAATGCAGTTAACATAATTGTGGCTTAAGATTAAATAAATAGTTCAAAAGTAGGTGTATTGATTATCATAGATGCCTTTTAAAATAAGTTGTCACCAGGTCCTAAGGGTGTAGCCATATTACCACTTACTAATGCAAAAGTGGACAAGAATATATATACCTAGATCAATAACAATAGTTCAGTAAAGCATAAAACAGTGCTTCATTTGAATTGAAGAGTGTATAGTTTTAAAAAAGCCCTCTTTTCTTCACCATGTGATTTTAATTCTCTCTAAGGTGGACATACCTTCTTCTCCCCTATCTTATAATCATCAACCACTATTCCTGACTCACTCCATGAATTGCTAGCCGACAGTATATTCTGAGACTTAATTTTCTCAGTATTGTAGAGCTCTAATACCATGACCTACAATGACTCCAGCAATTCATGGCAGTGTGTTAAGTCTTTATTATGTTAAATTCTCATCAAACATTGACTTTCTATCTTAGTGGTTTAGCTGCAGCAGCCCTGTGGTAGATGTGTATAGGTGTAGATGACCAACAAATACCATTTTTTCAATAAGGCAATGTAATTACAAAACACAGTGATGGATCTTCTCATTCTCTAGTGAATCATGACACAATAATAACAATGAATAACATTTACATACTACTTCACAATTTACAGAATATTCATTGCCAGTATTACATTAGAGTCTCACAACAGCCTTGTAAAATAATTATTAGCTCCAGATTCTAGTGATTAAACTGAGGATCAAAGTGTTTTAAAAACTGTTTGGATTCTTGATGTCTGGTATGCTATACTGAGAAATAAGAAATAATAACAACAGTAAGAAAAGGTCTTATTTAGATTTTCTTGGTGCAGCTTTTCTTTGAAAGTTTTGTTTCTTTGTAACATACTACAAGTAGAGTACGGTATTTTTTTTACCGTTTTCCTCCTGTACCCCCATCAAAGTTCATTTCCTTTTAACATCATAAATTTTTACTGAACCATTTCATTTTACTCACTTCCACAGACGACAAAGTCAAAAGGTAGTTTATGAACGTGAATTAGAAGTTTTCATAATGTAAAACTAAAGCAACATGTTCTTACCTAATAAGCTGACTAGTTATTGATAATAGTTTGATATTTTTAAATGTGTCAATTTTTATTGAGTTGATAACAGTTTTTTGTAGATGATAATTATTTTATTTACAGCATGTAGTTATCTTTTTTAGAGGAAATGTCTAAGTCTTTGTTTTATAATTCTAGGCCTCAAAAGATTTCAGTGTTTCAAAATCTGATTATATGTTAATGTTATATGTCTTGAGCAGAAAAATTTGGAAAATTGTTTTTTCCTGTAAGAATATATTTTTATTTTCATTGTTAATTGAAAAGATTAAAGTTTTTCATCAGCAATAAAATTTTCATGGCTACCTTATGAATATTTTAGCTACCATATCTAATTTTAATTTCTAAATAAATTAATAACAATTATAATGAGAAAAGCTTCCAATTTTATTTTTACATTTTAATGAATTATTTGTGTTCTATATGTAAACTGTCTCAGCATGAAATCAATTTTCTGCCTTGATTCATTCCAAATCTGAGATTTCTATCACATTAATATTGTAATTAGAAACATTAATAGAGACGGCAACTTAAAAAGCATACTTTGCTTCTTGGCAATTTAGCATATTTCTCTGAGTGCATAGGACTTCAAGAACTTTCAGTCCACTAATAAATTTATTAACTCAAACTTAAAAGAAGTGAAAAGTCTCTTTCTTTCTCTCTCCCCATGGCCAGTCTGCTAAAATAGATTATTCATGCTTATTTGATTCAGGTAGGCTTTTGCAAGCTTCCCTACTAGGCCTGGGAATGTGGTACATTGAGGCCTTTTCAGAGGCTTCTGACATAGACCAAGCTTTTATTGCATGGTGTTTTATTATAGCCAAATCCTAGTCTCCACCCAGTTTGTAGGCACTCTGCTTATTCTTTTGAATCAGGAAAGGTTATCACCTACCTTAATCCATGCTGCTGCATGGATTAAGGACACCAGTGTGCCCCAGGATTCTCAAAGAGGATCCTGGAAACTTCTGGTTTTTTCTTTTTTGCTGTCTTTACTAAATTCTATTGGGCCTGAGGGGGATTTGCATCTGAAATGGGCAACCTGGTGTTTTTCTCAATGAAGACATCAGATCAAAGTTCAGTTAGTCAAGGCCTTTCTAAAACATTAAGGGGGCTTGGACTTACACAATAAAAAGATGAGCTCTAGCAGAGATTGCAATAAAAACATTCTGAACTATAATCCGGATAAAGAATAGATTATAGGCCAAAGAACAGACCTTGTTTAAATTGCTTTAGACTAATAACTTTACATTTTTTAAGTTTGTACCCTATTTTTAAGAAACATTTTAATATTATATATTTTATTTATCAATAGTTTCATGATAAATGGATAAATTATGTTTTGGGAACAAGAATTCTGTACATATTGGATTGAAAAGATTAGATTGAAGCAAACTGATAGCATATCTTATTAATGAAAGTAAGTAGTACCTTATGGAGGGATGAACGGTCATTTCATTTTAAAAAATAAATGTCAAACCCACAGACTCTGAATCTGAAAAAAGTATTTCTATTAGACTTAAAAATTTTTATTTCTTATTACTGTATAATTTCCTATTGGTAGGCATTTAGTTTAAGAATATGAATCCTTGAAGTCTTAAATGCAAATATCTAGTGTCAAGCAAATATGTCTTTCTTATCTAAATTAAAAAGTTGTCACTTAGATAAGTATCTACTATGTATAGTTCTTCAATTTCTGTAGTGATTATCTAGTTTTGTTGAATATTCTGAAACTTATATGTTTCAAGACAGTGGAAATTATGTAATAGTAGATCTGAAATCTTTTATTAGAGACTATTGCCAAGTGGAATTTGTTAATAGTTCAATTTTGGATAGTGATGTATATATATTTTCAATGTATTGAATGAAAGAAATTAGCTCAAAGTCCATTCAAAGCAATGTAATAATAATGTTATGTTAGTAGACTTTTGCTATCCCATATAAATAAATTCAGTGTCATATAAATTAGAGTTTCTTATAAGAAAGATAATTTGTTAGAGAAATTGTTAGTAGAGAACACAAAAGAGGAATTATCAATGAACCAATGATTATGCCAGGTTCTGATTGATCTAATGTGGGTCATATACATTCTTCCACTTTATCATGTGCCTTGTTCCTGTCTGGAGTATTGTAGTACATTTTATCCTATAAGCTTAATTTAAATTTGCAAGAAATGTTTAATATACACGTATATTGTCTTATGTGAGAATTCAGTTTTAAAATTATACTCAGTGTAATATATTTAAATAGCTAGTTTCTTTTGGACCTCTTACCAGTGAATTAATTGGGTTTAAGTTTTCAGTTAGTTCTTGGCAACTGCATATTTAATTTGTCATTAAAACCTAGAATCTTAAATATTAATTAAGAATTATGTATATTAAGTTTTGAACTTAGGAAGGCATACAGTATAATGAAAAAAAACCAAAGAGGTTTGTAAATTCTTGTCAAATTTAGAGAACCACTAGAAGTGAAGAAACATGAAAGATAAAAAGGTTGATTTGTAACTATAAATGGTTTAAAATAATAAAGGTTGTTGTATGCTTCTTTGAAATTTACTTAGTGTATGTATATCCGTTCTTCCTTATTAGCTTAAAATTCATAAATATGCCATTGTTTTGCTGGATGTAGGACAAATAAATTATAGCTTAAAAATAATTGTTTAACAACCACTATGGGGTTTATTTTAGCAGATTGGACCAGTATCATCTTCAAGATTTGGTCACTATTATGATGCATCAAAAAGAATGCCACAAGAACTAATTGAGGCTTCAAATTGGCATGGATTTTTTCTTCCAGAGAAAATATCTTCAACTCTCAAAGTAGAACCCTGGTAAGTTAATGACCCATTTAATAACAAAATCTGATTTCAAATATTAGTAGAATGCACTTTTACCACATTTTTGAAAGAATACACATCTAAGGGTAAATATCATAATAATAAATATTAGTTTTCTATATAATTTGTAACTTCAAGTCTATGTATTTTTCATAGTATTTCATTATCTGTGGCTTTCTTTTTTCTCTGGTCCTGTAACTGCTGAAACCACTATTTCTCTAATTTGCAACTTGAAAAATCAGGACACCAAATTTATAAGTGCTGGTTTTCAAGAAAATGTAGAACAGTTCTAAATCAGAGTCTTTCAGCTTTAAATGCAAATAGACACCTAATAAATATGTATTGATAATAATAGCAATGAAAATGATACAAACTAGTGTCGTTTGCTTAATTTAATTTTTTGGCATATACTTTTTCAGAGCGTAAACAAGTATATACTTTACAATATTTTATTTATGAAGGCTTTCTATTTCTGGCTCTGCTGTAAATAAAACAATCTGCATAATTTTAAGTGACTTAGAATTTAGAGTTTGGGTTTTAAGTATCAAAACAATGCAACATGTTTATACTGCCAGTACATTATTAAGACAAAACTCTGAAAATTACAGGACTTGACACTGAATAATGTATGTTATAAAGTATTAAGAATATTTAATTTCAATTTTTATTTCAGTAAGTTATGGAACAGATTGTCATTTATATTTTCTTAAGCATTTGTAAAACCATTTTCAAAATGAGATGAGCTATTAAATGAAGATTTAATAGGCAAGGCGTTGTGAACCAAAATGACTTAAAATTTATAGTCTCTGTTCTAAAAATAATACCTGAGAATTTAGTGGAGACTACTGTACTCATGCTTATTAAATGTTTCCAAAAATGTTCACTTTATTATGGAGTTCTCCAATCTATGGATAGAGACTTAGCAAAAGCGGTGCTTTGATGTTGTTTTAGCATTTATAACTACCATTAATGTATTACTGCTATGTGTCAGCCACTCTGTTAGGCACTTTACATTTGTTATCTTCTATAATCCTTATATTAACCCTATACAGGGTTATGTAGTACTAATATGCAGAAGTATGAAGTCCCATTTTCTAGAAGATACTGAAATTCACAGAATTGATTTATCTGAGTTTTAATTATTAAGTGATAGAACCAGGCTTAATCTGTCAGATTTATCTTTCTTTTTTGCTTCACTGCTTCAGAAGATTTTGGTGTCTTTCACCTTTACTTTCCTGTGTCATGGAGTAATGAGCACTGATAAAAGAATTTTTAAAATCTGGATTCTTATATTGAGTTCATCCTACCCTTAACCTTGGGCAAATCACCTAAAATCAGTGAAAATCAATATCTTCATGTGAAAAATTGGAGGTAGGGAGAAGAGGAAATACCACCTGCCTTACTAGCTCACTAAATTTTTGTTAAGTTTGAGTGATTATATTGATTTTTATGTTTCCCAGTTTTTGCCACAGATAGAGTCAAACATGCATTTACATAGAAGCTTGCGAAATAGGTCAGGGTAATTTTCCCATAATTTTTCAAATAATAGTAAAGAGTGGAACCCAGGTTCAAAGTAAATTCTCCCTGATTCAAGTATCTGTATTAGCAATAATGCCATACTGTCTCCATTAACAGAGTGCTTAGGAAAATAAATGTAAAATGTATATTATGTTTGATGTATTTAAATGAAAAATAATATGGTGTTACTTTTGTGATTTAAAAAAATGTATTTTAAGGACAATACTTTTTTTTACACCAGCAAGTACAGTGTTATTCTTCATTTACTCAACAGCTGAGGTAAGGAGGGGATTAGCATGTGTCAAATATATTTTCCAAGTCAGGTACTCTCCCAGACGTTTGAATATGGGATAACTCATTAAATTTTGCCAACAACCCTCCAAGAGAATGTTAACCCCATTTTGTAAGCAATTTCAGGTTAGAGTTGCTAAGTAACTCTCCTACTGTTGCAGGCTGTCAGTGACTGAGCTAACACCCAAACTCAAGTTTCTAAAACCTCTGCTCTTTTTTTTTTTGTACCGTGCTACCTCCATTTACTGAGGCAGTAAATGTACACCCACCAACGTAGGTGCCAGAAAAATTACTCCTTAATCAGCCTTGAGGATATAATCCTATAGTCTTTAAAATACATATTTTCTGAGTGTTTTGTAAGAACTAGCAGTTTCGCACAGAATAGGAAAATTTATAGATTTTAATTATCAAGGCAGTATTTCATTTCATAGAGTTAACTGATAATTCATTTATTTCATATTAAACTTAAATGCTTAATTAAATGTAATTAAACTTTAAACATGTAATTAAATTAATTTTCAAAATGGGTACTTTACCATGTGAGATTTATTTTAATTTATGAAAAGCATGTGCTCATTTCACTAAAATGAACTTTACTGGTTCATTTATAAAACAATAAAGCTAAGCCTTACAGTTATCTATACTTTTCCTATAATTAAGGCTAGAGGTTATAGCTGTGTCCTACTATCATATGTGAGGATATAATATATAATTTTATAATTTCTGAAGGTGCTCTTAAAACATGTAAAGATATTTTTACAATAAGAAAAACTGCAGATCATTTAAAATTTACAGTAACTAATTTAAAATGATTAGTAGGTTTGCCTGTAGAAAAAATTCATACATACAGTTTAAATTTTCAAATTAAAGCCAGAGTATAAAGATCTCAGATGTTTTATAATAATATTATCAAGATAGTTTTGTTTGGATATTTCACTATTACAAATCAGATAATCTGAGTCACAAAATAATAAGCTGGTTTTGAGAATAATTCTGGAGTCTAAGATTGTTTACTTTGACTTTGTTTTCAGTTAAGCTTTGCTAACAAGTATGTCCAAGCATAGTTTGGTTTCCTTACTAGAAAGACACTGCCATTTTTCAGTGTCGTCTTTCTTACTGATTAACAATTATATTAACATATTGCTTAACCTACCACTACCAACTGAATGTTTGTGTCCCCCAGAATTCATATGTTGAAGCCCTAACCCCTAATGGGATGATGTTTGGAGATGGGGCCTTTGGGAAGTAATTAGGTTTAGATTAGGTTGTGAGGGTGGGACCCTGGTGTGATAAGATTCGTATCTTTATAAAAGAGGGAGAGACACAGGAGCTCTCACTCTCTCCGGGAGCATGCAAGAATGAAAGGCCATGTGAGCACACAGCAAGAAGGCTGCTATCTGCAACCTAAGGGAAGAGCCCTCACCAGGCACCAACTCTGCTGGCATGTTGATCTTGGACTTCAAGTCTCCAGAACAATGAGAAAATAAATTCCTGTTTAAGCCCCCCAATCTATGGTATTTTGTTATGGCATCCTATCTTTGTCCATTTGTGATGCTATAACAAAATACCTGAGACTCGGTAATTTATAAAGAGAGAAATTAAATATTGAACTTTCTATCCTCCAGATCTATGAGAAAATAAAAGTGTTGGCAGGTGTGGTTGTCTGGTGAGGCCAGCACTCTGCTTCCAAGATGGCACCTTTTTCCTGCATTCTCCAAAGGAGAGAAATGATGTGTTCTCACATGGCAGAATGTGAAAGGGCAAGCTAGCCAAAATGCTGTGTGAAGCCTTCTATATAAGGGCCTTAATCCCGTTTTTGAGAGAGGAGCCCTGATGACATAATCACCTCTTAAAGGCCTCGTCTCTTAATACTATCACATTGACAACACCTGAATTTTGTAGGGTACACTTTCAAACTATTGCACAGACTGATCTGACGATGTTAGTTCTTGAATATTGAGTTTGCATACAGTTGGTAGTCAATAGAATGAGTTTATTTTGATATGTTTCTCTGAATTTCAAGATTTTATTTTAACATGTTTATCATAACAATAACCAGTAGTTTCTTATATTGTCTGAGTTTTCTACTGATTAAATTGAATGAGTTGAATTCTGTGAGAACCGCTCGGTCTTTTAGTTTTTTGACTGCATTCTGAACCAGGCCTGACTAATTAAAATAGAAGCAGCATTCCTCATCTAGGAAGATGTGGAGACCTCCTTTTTTTTGCAGTAAGTCAATCAAGGCCTTTGTGGTTTTGTAGGGTAACTGCTGCTAGGGAGTCTAGTTGGTTTTGGAGGTGGGTAATAGAGTTTGCAATTTTTTTTTTTTTTTAGGGAAGCCTACAAATCTGTAGAGAGTGCCTGGAAATATGATAATGAGATGGAGAACGGAGGGCCCCTTGGGAGGAAGTGACAGAGCATATATGACAGTTTGAGGTTATGTTAGAGGGTATAATGGAATGGTAAAGAAAGCATCCTTTAGGTCGATTACCGTATAGTGGGTGGTGTTGGAGGGGATGAGGGAGAGAAGTGTATGGGGGTTAGGGACCATGGGGTGAATAGGGAGGACAGCCTGATTGATGGCTCAGAGGTCCTGAATGAGTTGATATGAGCAGTCAGATTTTCTAACGGGGAAGATGGAAGTGTTATATGGAGAATGTGTTGGTCTAAGAAGACGGCGTGAGCAGAGCTTGTTTATGATGGGTTGTAAGCCTTTTTGGTGTGTTAGGGAAATGGGGTATTGGGGAATGTTGGGAAATTTAGAGGGGTCTTTTAACTGTATTTTGATGGGGTCCTGGTGAGCAGCTATGGAAGGGGTGGTGGTGTTTCACACTACTGGGTTAACGAGAGAGGTGGGTAGCGGGTGCTGGGTGGGGGGGTCAGGGGCCGTACTAGCAGAGAGGAGCAGGAGGGACTCTGGTTGCGGTGGGCAGGAAGAGGTGATAGAAGCTTTGAATTTGGCTAAAATGTTTCGGCCTACGATGGGAGTGGGGCAGTGAAGCATGATAAGGAAGGAGTGTGAAGAAATATAGTATTAGACAGGGAACAAGTAAGGGATTCAGTAGCGTGTCGATGTGAGACGAGACCTGGGAAGGGTAAGTGGGTGCTAAAAATTTAGATAAAGCCGAGTAGCTGGCCCTGCTATCGATTAGAAAAGAGATCGGCTTACCTGCTATTAGCAGAGTTACCCTGGGCTCTGATGCAGATAGGGCCAAGGGTCCTGGGCTCTGTCAGTCTTCAGCAGCAGGGCCAAGGAGCTGTGGTAGGGTGAGCGATTTTTCACTCCTTACCTTGCCAAGGTTTTGAGGAGTTGATCTGTTAGCCTGGTTGTTAAGAGGACAATCAGACTTCCAGTGACTGCTTCATTGGCAGGCTGGACAAGGAGTTTTTGGTGTCCTTGGGCTGGGACATGCCCTCGCCCAGTGGCCTTCTTGGCTGCATTTAAAACAGGCCACAGAAGGGAGGCTGCTATCGGGTCTTTTGTGCCCTTGGGTGCTATTGCCAGGTTGGCGAATAGCCGCGGCTAGTAGCTGACATTTGGCACGATCTCGTTGGGCTTTATTTTTTCTTGTTCATCCCTATTATTAAAGACTTTGAAAGCCAGGTTGAGAAGGTCTTGTGGGGTTTGAGGGCCATCTTCAGGCTTTTTAAGTTTGCACCATATGTTAGGAGCAGACTGAGAGATAAAATGGGTATTAAGAACAATAGTTTTTTCCCGGGAGGTGGGGTCAACATGGGTATATTTTTGGAGGGCCTCTGTAAGGCGGGAAAGAAATTCAGCAGGGTTTTCATCAGCTCTTTGAGGGATATCTTTGAGTTTTTCATAATTTGCAGCCTTATGGGTTGCTTTGTTAAGGCCTGCGATGAGACAAGTAGTCATATGGTTATGAGATGCCCGGCCGGGGTCTGTGGGTTGGTACTCCCAAGGGGGCTCCTTGGGAGATAACATTTTATTTCAAAAATACAAGACTTTTAGATTGAAAAGCAAAGATCCACAGTATATTCAAAAGTCTAAATATAAGATTAAAGATTACAAGCATGAGTCATGCCTCTAATCCCAGCACTTTGGGAGGTCGCGGCAGGAGGATCAATCACTTGAGCCCAGGATTTCAAGACCAGCCTGGGCAACATAGTGAGACCCTGTCTCTACAAAAACAAACAAACAAAAAATACTAATAGCCAGGTGTGGTGGCACATGCTGTAATCCCAGTTACTCAGGAGACTAAGGTGGGAGAATCACCTGAGACTGAGAGGCCAAGACTTGAGTGAGCTGTAATCATGCCACTGCACTCCAGCCTGGGCAAAAGAGCAAGACCGTTGTCTTAAAAAAACAGAAAATTTACACTCACAAGAAAGAAATTCTATAGAACATCTAAGACTAAAAATTCGGAAGTCATATAGTTATAGAAGTATACTATAAATTACTTTATTAAAAGGATATGGTGAATGATAAATTAGTGCAAATCTCAGAACTGATGGAAAGGCATCATGTAAGTGTGAAGAGAGATTCTGCCTATCTGTTTAGCTGCTAGTGATACAATTAAAGTAAAAAGATAATGTTTGAAAATTTAGAAAGAGGACTATTATTCTGGGCCTCATTTTTTGTTTGTTTTGTTTTGTTTTGTTTTTTAACTTACTTTATTTTCAACTTTTATTTTAGATTCAAAGGGTACATTTGCAGGTTTGATACAAAAGTATATTGCATCATGCTGAGGTTTGGGTTTCTGTTGATCACTTCACCCCGGTAGTGAGCATAGTACCCAATAGGTGTTTTTCAACCCTTGCCTCCCTTCCCCCCTCCGTATTCCCCAGTGTCTATTGTTCCCACCTTTATGTTCATGTGTACCAATGTTTAACTCCCACTTACAAGTGAGAACATGCAGTATTTGGTTATCTGTTTCAACATTTCACTTAGGAGAGTGGCTGGGCCTCATTTTGACCAATGGAGAGAAACTGCTTGCTTGCATGTTTGCCTTGTTTTTACCTCCTTTCTGTCCTTTAAAGGCCATCAGGTACACAGAGTTAAGTGAATCATCTTGTTCCTCATTTCATGCATGGTATCCTATCTCACTGGTATGCATGGGTTTTGTTTTATTATTTTCCACCTTATTCACCCATTCCTAATCTCAGTCATCTCCTCCACAGTTATGTTTATGTATATCCTTCCAGATTTCTGCCCTTACTTCAATAATGTAATCTTTGACCCTTGACTCTTCTCTCTCTCTGCATCCAATCTATTAGCATGTCCTGTCAACTGTGTCTTCAAAATGTATCCAAATACCACTTTTGCAACCTTCAACTTTACATGCTAGCCTACATTACCCACATTTCTTGCCACAGCTGTTGGGATAGCCTCGTAATTGGTCTTGCTCTTTGCTCTTTGGTCCTTGCTCCTTGTTGGCTCCTGTTTTTCTTCAACATAGCCCTAGTGACTTTTTCAACATAGTACTGTCCAGTAGAATTTTCTGCAGTGATGGAAATTTTCTGTATCTGTGCTGTGTAATGTAGTGGCCACTAGCCACATGCAGCGAATGAATACATGAAATGTGACTAGTAAGACCAAGGCACTGAATTTTAATTTTATTTTTCTTTAGTTAATTTAAGTAGCCATATATAATTAGTGGCTATCTTGTTAGGCAGTCCAGTTTTACAGTATGAGTCGGCTCTTATCACTACTCTGCATCAAACTCTCCAATGATTCCCCAACTCATTCAGGATAGTAAATCCACGACCCTACAAGGCCTTACCTAATCTGATCGCTATCTCTCTCTCTCATCTCACTGGATCTCATTGAGGTTGGGGAAAGGGGAAAGGGAATATCAAGAATGTTTTCCAGGATTCTGATGTTAGACTTAGGATAGTCCAATCTACTGAAGTAAGTAAACATAATCATATGTCCGATAATATTTATTGAAAGCTTTTTCCAAATCTCAACACCGTCTATGAACTTGAGCACCTGCTATGAGCCCAGCATTATGCTAAGTTCTAGATTATTGTAGTGAACAAAGCAGACGTTAACCTTGCCATTGTGTAGCTTACGGTCCAATAAGAAAGCACATAATTTTTTTTAAACAAGCAAACAAATATATATGTAGTTAAATATAAAGAAAAAACATTTTCTATGGCAGAAGCTAAGTGGGCAGAGAGGGCAGTGGGTATACCTTGAGTTGTGTTCACTCAAAGTCTTTCTAAGTGGAAACATTTTAGCTGAGACCCAACTGAGAAGAAGGTAATCATGCAATGGGCACTGGGCCAAGAAGTATTATTGTCAGAAGGAATAGCAGATGTGCTAATAAAGGAAGGAACTTGGTGTTTTCAAGGATTTAAACGGCCAATGTGGCTGAAATAGTGTGAGCGATGGAAAGAGCTATGTGGAGGTGAGTTCAGGTGGCAAAGAAAGATCAATAACTGGAAGGGGTTTGGGGTGAAATAAGATTTTTTTTGCTCTGTTTTATTTAATTTATTTAAATGTCAATGCAAAAAAAATTAATAAAGAGGGAATGGATGAAGATGTAGAAAAGAAAGCAGCAGTTTCTGAAGATATGTACTGATGACTTCTCTTAGTGAAATAATAGGCATAGCTATCCACTAGGGAGTGGTTACTTACCTCTTGGGAGTTTGGGTTGAATCGAGAAACTTAAAAAGGGTTATTTCATAGACCGGAAGAATACACTGACTACAGAAATCTCAAATGGTTGGAGTGGTGCCAGTCTATCAGAT
This sequence comes from Homo sapiens, assembly GCF_000001405.40. Taxonomy (NCBI): domain Eukaryota; kingdom Metazoa; phylum Chordata; class Mammalia; order Primates; family Hominidae; genus Homo; species Homo sapiens. Next base: position 31,612,443 of record NC_000011.10, read on the forward strand.
TGTGTGACTTTCTTGCTTCTGTGCTAAGATTCCTGGGTTGAAATTTTGCAAGGTGGAGTGAGTAGGACAAAGAACAAAGAAGTTTAAACGATTAAAAACAGTGAACAAAATGTTGGATCATGAACTTTAGGCTGAAGAAAAACAACTGAAGACAATTGCTGTTGATACATATGTATATAAGGAGAAAGAGAAGGGGCAGTACACTGGTAGTAGATTTACTAATCTTAATAGTGGAGGTAAATGAAGAAAGCAAGCTACTAAAATAAGTAATATTGGGTGAGAATAAGATGTTTGAATTAGGACTGTAAGCCAGGTGCAGAGTCTTCAGTTAACAGTAAGGAAAATGTCCAGGAGCTTGATAAAGACAGCAACTTAAAAGGAGAATGGCTGGGGGTTAGCTATATGTAAAAGAAGCATGGATTTGTTTGTTAGTTTCATTTTCCTAGGAAGTGGAGGAGGAGTGATTTGAAAGTGATACTGGAAAACAAAGAGAATACCAACCAAATGTCCCAAATATTGAGGAAAAGATTCTAAGCTGCAGCTTTATTTGGTTAGGCTCAAGTGTCTACCACCTTTCGAGGGAAATTCCGTCGTGCTTTGGAGGGTGGTGGGCACTGTGGCTTTTATTAGGGTCTAAGGCTAATGGAAGCTGTAAAAACTGCAGCAATGGCTGTAGAGAGGTGGCTCTGCAGAAGTTTTTTCTGTATAAGAGATCAGGGGTGGTTACTGGGCTTTGCATCCATGATATAATGGAGTGAAAAAGCAGATTATAGAAATAGGATAAATAGCAGAATCCTATTTACATAAAATTTTGTATAGCTTATCCCAAATTCTTTTCTAACACTAATTCAGGAGATGTTAATTTAGCTTCCAAAAACCTAGTGATATGCAGTCAAATAAGCTCATGAAAGACTGCAAACTAAATCCCCTTCCTAGATTATCTAAGAGATTCACAGTATACATTAGTATTTGAAAGGCTGTGAGGGAAATGCCAAACATTATTGAAATACATAGTAATAATAATCCTCTTTACATTTGTTTATTGGTAAAACTCTTCTTTTTAGAATCAAAAACATTTTTATCAGCATACTTCTTAATATCCTGCAATCGTTTTTCTCAGTAAGAAACAGGACTGGTATAGAGAGATGTCTTACAGGATATTCACCAAACTGTTAACAATATTTGCCTCTGGGTGGTGGATTCCGGATAAGTTTTTTTTTATTATTATTCTTTGTATGTTTTATACGTTTGAATTTTTATGATGAACAAGAGTCTTTTTTTTTTTTTTTTTGAGATGGAGTCTTGCTCTGTTGCCTAGTGCAGTGGTGTGATCTCGGCTCACTGCAGCCTCTACCTCCTGGGTTCAAGCAATTCTCCTGCCTCGGCCTCCTGAGTAGCTGGGATTACAGGCGCACACCACCACACCTGGCTAATTTTTTTGTATTTTTAATAGAGATGGGGTTTCACCATGTTGGCCAGGCTGGTCTAGAACTCCTGACCTCAAGTGACCTGTTTGCCTTGGCCTCCCAAAGTTCTGGGATTACAGGCATGAGCCACCGTGCCTGGCCTGAACACTTGAGTCATTTTTATAACAAGGGAAGGGATTTCAAATTATGGGCCTAATCATTTGGTAATAAAATAGTAAATTCTTACCTTATATCTCACATCATATTATATTTCCATAGAGTTAAAGAGATAAATATAATAAATGAAATTATTAAAATAATCGCAGAAAATATGAATGAATGTCTTAAATTCTTGGAGTTGAGAAATAGCAATGAGTATATCTCATGCTCAGATCTAAATGCCATTCTCCATTCAAAGGCACTGGGACTCTTTGGAGAAATGGTTGATGGAAGAGAAGGGAAAAGATATGCCTGGAACATCTTTTTATGTGTAGAAGTTCTTAAAGAATGATGATGGCATATCAAAAGGACACAGAAGCCAGCCCAAAGGAGTTCTCACTGGGCATGTTGGCCAATTTGAGCATCAAAATAAATAATGATAGCAATGGATTTAATAAAATAGGAAGCTATAAGTACATACTGATATAAATAAATAAATGAATAAATTGAAAGTTTTTTGAGGTATAAGATAACTTACATAGCCAGAAAGTACCATCCCACAAAATACTTATTAACTACAAAGGGGAAAAGAATAATTTTACAGTGGAGAAGACTAGAAGAATTGCCTTAATCAAGTTAACATCACCAGTAGTGGGGATGATCAAAAGCATGTATCACCAGATAATACGCAATGAGAACTCAGCAATATTTCTGTGATATTTCCACCAAAAATTAATAATTCAAATGTAATCACGAAGAAGCATCACACAAATCCAAATTGGAAACATTCTACCAAACATCTGGACTATAATCCTCAAAAGTGTCAAGATCATGAAAGTTAAGGTAAATCTAACGAACTTCCATATTGAAGGAGACTGAAGAGAACAAATGACAACTGAATACAACAGGTGATTCTAAGCTATTTCGTTTTGCTGTATAGGATGATATTGGAACAACTGCTGAAACTTGAATGGAGTGTGAGGATTAGATGGTAGTCTCAGTTTCCTCCTTTTACCAGTATGCCAGGTCAGATGGTTGTATTGTTCTCCTCTAGAAGAATGTCCTTGTTTGTAGGAATCATATCCTAAATTATTAAGAAGTGATAAGTCATCAGGTCAGCAACTTACTCTCAAGTGGAATGGGAAAAAAAAGATTTTTTGTTCTATATTTGCAACTTTTATGTAAGTTTGAGATGGTTTCAAAATTTCAAAAATTACATACATGCATATATTTCATTAAATTATGGTTATGTTTAAATGGGTAAGAAAAAATTGAATACCCTACTTCAAAACAGGCAAAAGGTTAACGTTAAGAGGATGTTCTCAGAAAAAGATACAGAAATGACCAATAAATGTCACTACATCAAAAGAAATGTAAACCAGAACCAAAGAGATAGCACTTAGCATACAGTAGCTGGCATAGTAAAGGGTTAATGAATTTTAGCCATCATAATTGTTATTATTTCTGTTTATATTTTGAAATTTATTATAAGAAACGTATTTTTATTAGAAGATAAATCAATAAAGTTATTTTTACTTCGAAAAAAATGTAACTACTTGGGCAAATATTTTTCATCTGAACACAATCAGCTTTTTTTTTTCCCCTATCCCACTTTTTCATTTAAGAAAAGTTTATTTGGAGATCAATTCTCCTTAGATGTAGGCCCCTAAATGAACAGTGGCTATATTTCATGTTTCTCACACACAACTTAGCTCACTTTTCAATGTGAGTTAAAAGATTTGATAACATATTGTCCTTATTGCTACTCACTGAGCAAGTGGTAATTTTGTATTAGTCCCATCCCTTCATACCTCTTTAATTGCATACCTTGTTCCATCTAGTCATCCCACCCAATCACCTTCCATCCTGCAACTGGAGTGTTACTATATTATATTGACTTCATGGGGATTGATCATAACTAAGTTAATGAGAACTGATTTTTCTGTCAAGTACTATTTTTATTTTTTCATATTACATTTGTTATCTCATTTAATTCTTCAAAAATCCTATGACATTAGTAGTATCCCCAGTTTGAAAAGAAGGAAATAGAAACAACAGATTTAGTTTACTTAAAGTTACACAGGGACTAAAACTCAAGGGACCCCAGACAGCCAAACTACTCTTGAAAAAGACCAAAGTTGGAAGTTTTATACTTCCTAATTTCAGAACATGTTACATAGCTACAGTAATTAAAACATTGTGGTATAAAGTAAAAATTGCGTATAAGGACAGATACACAAACCAATAGAATAGATAGCCCAAAAATAAATTTTGGTATATATGGTCAAATAATCTTCAACAGGGTACCAAGGTCACTCACAAGGACTGTTTAACAAATGGGAAGACTGGGTATCTACATGCAAAAAAATAAAAATAAAAATGAAGATAGATCCCTGTCTTACATCATATGCAAAAATTAAAATGGATTAAAGACCTAAACATAAGATTCAAAACTATTAAAATCCTGGAAGAAAACATAGGGGAAACATTTCATAATCTTGGATTCGGCCATTATTTCTTGGATATGACACCAAAAGCACAAACAATAAAAGCAAAAATAGACAAATAGGATGACATCAAACTTAAACTTTTGTGCATGAAAGGACTTAATCAACAGTGAAAAGGCAACGTAAGAAATGGTAAAAAATATTTGCAAATTATATATCTCATAAGAGGCCAATATCCAGAATAAAGAACTCCTACGACTTGACAACATAAAAACAAATAACCTGACTTTATAAAATAGGCAAAGGACTTGAATAGACATTTCTCCAAAGATGATATACAGAAGGCTAACAAGCATATCAATAAGTGCTATCACTAACCATTAGACAAATACAAGTCAAAACCACAAGATACCCCCTCACATCTGTTAGGATAAAAATGAAAAATAGGAAAGGAAAAAGTAAAAAAGAACAGAAAAGATCAAGTGTTGGTTAGGATGTGGAGAAATTGGAACCCTTGTGCACTATTTGGGTTGTAAAATGTGTAACTGCTATGGAAAACAGCATGGCAGTTTCTCAAAACCGTATGATCCAACAATCCCACTTCTAGGTATATGTCCAAAAAAATGGAAAGCAGGGATTTGAAGAGATATTTGGACACCCATGTTCATAGCAGCATTATTTGCAGTTGGCAAGAGGTGATAGTAGTGCAAATGTCCACCAACTGATGAACTGATAAATAAAATATACCATATAATGAAATGTTATTTAGCCTTAAAAATGATGGAAATACATATTTCATATATAAATACATATGTAAAAATACATATTACAACATGAGTGAACCTTGACATTGTACTAAGTGAAATCAGTTACAAAAAGATAAATATGATTCTACTCATATGAGATATCTAAAGTAGTCAAATTTCACAGAAACCAAAAATGGAATGGTAGTTACCAGGGGTTGAGGGAAAGAGGGAAGTGAGGAGTTGTTGTTTCTTGTTTCATGGATAAGCAGTTTCAGTTTTACAAGATAAAAAAGTTCTGGAGATCTGTTTAACTTAATGTTAAGTTGTGCAACATATATACTCAAAAGTGGTTAAGATAGTAAATTTTATGTTATATGGGTTTTTTAACCACAATTAAAAAGAAAAATGGGGAAAAACAGATTGGATTTGAAAATCAGCATATTCTGTTAATAGAAGATAAATCAAAACCAAACAAAGAAATACTCAAAGTAAAATGACAAATAAAGATATTCCAAGCCAAAAAAAAGTTAAAAAAAAAAAAAACACCCCAAAAGCAAAAACAAAATGAGATACCACTTCACATCCTCTAGGATAGCTAGAATTAAAGAATCAGATAATAACAAGTGTTGACAAGGATGTGAAGAAATCAAAACCATCATACATAGCTGATGAGAACATAAAATAGTAGTCTTTTGGACTGGTACACTCTGGCGTTTCTCAAAAAGTTAAAGTTACCATTTGACCCAGAAATTCTACTCCTAGGTATATCCCCAAGAGGATTAAAACAGAACCTTTTTTTGGTACATTTATGTACAAAAACCTGTACATAAATGTTCATAACAGCATTATTCATAATAGCTCACAAGTGGAAACAACCCAGATGTCCCTCAACTGATGAGTGGATAAAAAATGTTATATCCATACAATGTAATATTTATTTCACCATAAAAAGGAATGAAGTACTGATACAGGGTACAGCTCAGATGAATCCTTTAAACATTATAGTAAGTGAGAGAAAACAATTGTCTTAGTCTGTTTTGTGCTGCTATAACACAATACCGTAGACTAAGTAATGTATAAACAATAGAAATTTATTTCTCATAGTTCTGAAAGTTTGAAAGCCCAAGGTCAAGTTGCCAGCATGTTTGGTGTCGGTTAAGGACCGAGTCTCCACTTCCAACACGGTAGTTTGAACACTGCACTTTCCAGAGGGGAGGAACCCTGTTCCTCACATGGCAAAAGAATGGAAGAACCAGGAGAGTGAGAAAGGACTGAACTCACCCTTTTGTACTGGCACCAATCCTGCCCATGATGGTGGAGCCCTTATGGCCAAATCACCTTTCAAAGGTCCCACCACTTAATACGGTAACAATGGCAACTAAATTTCAACATGAGTTTTAAAGGGGACCGACATTCAAACCATAGTACCCTTCATAAAAGACAACATATTACATGATTTCGTTTGTGTGAAATAATAATATGAAATATAGAGAGGCAGAAAGTACATTAATGGTTCCTTAGGGCTAGGAGAATTGGAGGGAGTTGATAAAACAGGTATGAGATTCCTTTTTGAAGGAATGAAAATATTCTAAAATTATGGTAATACTTAAATAGCTGTCAATATACTAGAACTATTGAACTGTACACTTTCAGTGGGTGAATTGTATGGTACCTGAATTCTATCTCAATAAAGTTGTTACCAAAAAAAAGAAAACAGACCAATTGAATTTAGCCATTGGAGGTCATCAGTCACCATAATAAAAGCAGTTTTAATGGATGGGATGGGGGTGGTCACATACTACTTGGAATGGATTTAAGTGAAAATGTAAGGAGAGGATTGGAGGCACTGAATTTTAGAAAATTTAAGGGGTTTGGTGCAGAAAAATAGAGTAGTAGCTGGTAAATGAGATGGGACAAGTGGTGGTTTTATTTTTTCAAGGGAGAGATAACGATATGTTTATATATTATAGGAAACAATCAGTAGAAAAGGAGAAGTTAATAATGAAGGAGAGAGGAGAGAATTGCCCAAGTGATATTTTATGGTATGAGGCCCGTGCACAGGTGGAGGTACTGGGTTGGTATAGGAGTTTAGTTAGTTCACATATGGCAGCCTGTGAGAAGACAGAGTATATATTTGGCTACACGTGCTGAGAATGTGGTGTCTTAGTCTGTTCAGGCTACTATAACAAAAATACCATAAACAGCAGCTTATAAATAACAGAAATGTATTTCTTATGGTTCTGGAGGCTGTGAAGTTCCAAGATAAGGGTGCCAGCATAGTCAGATTCTGGTGAGGGCCCACTTTCTTCATAGATAGGTGTCTTCTCTGTGTAACCTCGGGCATGGCAGAAGAGGAATACAGGTTCCCATGGACCTCTTTTAAGACAGTGTTAATCTAATTTATGAGTGCTCCACCCTCATGACCTAATCACCTCCCAAAATTTTCACCTCTGTTTTTTATTGTTTTTTTTTTTCAACTTTTAAATTCAGGGGTGTAAGTGCAGGTTTGTTACATAAGCAAACTTGTGTCATGGGGGTTTGTTGTATAGATTATGTCATTACTCAGATATTATGCCTAGTACCCATTAGTTATTTTTCCTGATCCTCTCCCTCTTCCCACCTTTCACCTTCCAAAAGGCCCCAGTGTGTGTTGTTTTCCTTCTTGTGTCCATGTGTTCTCAAATTCTCACCTTTTAATACTGTTGCATATTAGAGCTCAACATACAAGTGTTGTGGGGACATGAGCATTCAAACCATAGCAGGTAGAAAATGTGTGCTAGGTGTCCCTTCTGGCTGCTTCTGTTTTCTCATTGAAAGGTTATAAACTGATAATGAAGATGGAGGAAGAGATATTGGAGGTTTCAACAAAAAAAGAAAAAGAGAAAGTATGACATTGTCATCTAGGAGAGTGAGGATATGTATAGTGGGAATAGCCTTAAGGGCTTATTGAGGTTTGTGGTCATGAAGTTAAAGTCATACCAGTCTGTTTCTCTGGCCATTTTTAGCTACATTGAGGCAAGTGTGGAATAGACAGAGAGTTGTGTTTAACAAGAATAGCAGTAAGTGTGACAAAGCAAGAGAAGAGCAAGGAAGTGAGGATAAGGATTGACCATGGATTGAGATGGTTAATTAATTGAAAGAGCTTATCAAAGCAGGTGAGTGAAAGGTGTGGTAGACAATGATATAGAGATCTCAGCAGGGTCAAATGATTGCCTATGGGTACTAGGTGGAAAGAAAGTAGTGGTTATGTAGAGGGGTGTGCATGAAATTGAGATTATAGAGGTATGGCAGTTATTGATAATTACATGGTCTAAAAAACAACCATGGGGATGATCAACTTAAATAGAATGGAGATAAGATTGTTGGAAGAGAGATCAAAATACTGAAAGGCCAGAGTGTTAGAAAGGTGAGTCATGACCCAGAGTTGGGTAGATGACAGCAACAGTGAAGGGTAGTAGGAGACATAGTCTAAAACCTTGTTTACATCAGTAATTAAAGGAAGTCAGAGTGATGTCAAGCTGAGTTATTTTTCATGAAGGATCATAACCCCTCTTAATAGTATCCCTGTCAGAACCTGCATTGCTTAGACCATACATGTAATTTGTGCATCCTCATAGTTCTTAGTATTTTCCTAGCTGTGGCTCAGAGGTTTCTGCTGGTCATTGTTCTTCTTGGTGCCCTTAATACATTCCTACACTTTATATGTTCTTAGTTGAACATCCATGGTGAAGATAATCAAACTCAGTATTCTTAGCTGAAAATCATCAGAGGAGAAAAATCAGTAAATGACAGCCTTCAGGGTAACAGTAATGAAATTTTTAACTTGAAAATTACTTGTGAATAAACTTCACGGTCTCTATAGTCACATGCAAATTATATGCTAATATAACTTTAACTCAGCAAACTATTTTATACAATTAGTTGAGACACTTGATATTTTGCCTACTGCCTTACAAGGGTATCTCACTATTTGTCATAGATGAATACCTAAAATATATGTGTAAATAGAATTTTGGTAATACAAATCATACTTTCTCATTTATTTGCATAATAATGTCAAAAATGCTTCATCTTCACTTTAAATTAATCCTAATTGGGAGTGATAACAGCTTCTCGTCCTAAATGTTTATATCAAGTAGTTAAATCAATACTTAAATATATCAGAAGTTCTTATTTTTAAAAGCCAAGCAATGACTGATTTTAATGAGAAAAACCATATTTGAAACCATATGATTTCAAAGTCAGAATGGACAACATAGATTATCTAATGCAATCCCTGGCTTTACAGATGAGAAAATTTCGAAGACCAGAACAGAAAATTTAAACAATTTACCTCATACCACACATGTACATGTTGACACAGGTAGAACTAGAACCCAGATCTTAAACCTACATTCCAACTATACAATACTCATATCTAGTTTATATATTTGTAAGCATACACTTCACAGTATTGAGTTTTCTTTATACATCGTGTACCAAGTACATTGTAAGTAAGGCCTTGGTGGAGGCCTCCATCAGTGCAACTAAAAGAGAAATCTCTTCCTAAAACTATGCACCTGAATGCTTCATTTGGCTATGTTGAATGGAGCCATGTTCAGACCTCCTCTGGACCACATTACCACAGGCTTTTCATTGAATCTAGATCTCACTGTGGGGCTTTATCTTAGTATAGCCAAAAGAGCAGGTAATTTGAGTTCTTGAAAGTTTGAGTTTTAAGTGCCGTTTGTGTCCCTTAATTGTCGCACAGCCTTGGGCAAATTATTTAGCCTCAGAATGGTCTTAAAATCTCAACCATAAAATGGGGAGAATGACTATACTTAACCTCACAAGGTTATTCTATTCATCGAATGTGGTGACTGTGATACAAAAGTGTTTTGATTATTTACTATGTACCAAACACTTTATCAGTTGATATAATTAAAATCAGGTAGTCTTATTGAAAATCAACCTAAGAGCCTGTTATCTATGTATAGATTTTTCACTTATCAACAAGTTATTTTAAAATCACATGTGCATGATCTTATTTTTGTAACTTAACCTTTTCACTGATAAAATATTGTCTCCTGTTACCCAGGGTTTTTTGTTGGTGGTGGCAGTGTTGTATATTGTTCTTTACTCATATTTAAATATTTTTGTATTAAACCCCTCAGTTGAAGTGACTTTTTTTCTTTTTTCTTAATTATTAAAAGATTTTTAAGTGTTTCTTTGAGGACTTTTGCTAAGTGTTCCTTTGTTTATTGTTTCCAAAACTGTAGTTTTTGTCTGTTATTTATCATCTACCTGTACTTGATTTCTTTTGTAGAATACTACATCTTCTTTTGTATAATACTACATCTGATTCTTTTTTTTACAGCTAATTTTTTTATCTTTCTTAATAAGATTGAATGGCAACACTACTTTTCACAGCAAAACCAATGCAGTTTGTTGATAGGAATTAAAATTATCTGATGCAAATGTGCTTTACACCTCTTGAGGAAAATTAGAGATGGGGATAGAATATTGATAAGCATGAGTTTAATTTTTTTCTATCATCTCTAAAAAATATGAAACTTGGTCGTCAGAAAACAGGTTTACATTTGTGTCATTTGGCCCCTTTTATCCATGTTTATATATTAGTATAAAGAAATAAATTCTTACTAAACAACATGATAATATTAGCAGAAAAGCATGAATAATGCACATGGAACAATTTTACTTTTTTAACTAAAGAAAATATTAAATGCTTGATATTTTAAAGGTAAAAAGTAAAGTTCTAGTAATTGTCTTTATGTTCTTTGTATAGCTAATAGTTTTAAAGGCACATTGTAGAATCTCAAAATAGATCATTATAATATAAAAGTTGTTGAAAATATATGAAATTCAGGCAAAATAGTATACAAATTCATATAATGTGATCACAGAATGATTAGAAATGTGCCACTTTTGAAGGATGTTTTAAATAATTTGATAACGTAATCTTTGTTGAATGTTTGGAAACATTAATAAAGAAGCCAGGATCATATTTTTAACTGGGTTTACTTCTTGCCAACTCCTGTTTTATCAGTGCCTACACTACTAAACACACACACAAGAGTAAGCATCCTCAAAAGTAAAGGATTTTAGTAACAAACCAAAATTTTAGATGACAATAGAAGATATTTATTTTCAGCAAATATATATATATATATATATATATATATATATATATAAAACTAGAAACATTGCTGGCAAAGAAACATGGAGATTAACAGTACTTAGTATTTTATTATCAATATCATGTAAATGATTTCAGTTTTAAGTGATTTAATCCCATATATTCAAAAATTAATATTCACAATTGATAATACCTAAATGTATTGATTTATTGCATTTTATTTTGTTACCAAATAGTTTATTTTTCTAGAAATCTAATTAGAGGAATTTATTTTATTACTTATAAAATTTTAAGCATTGTTGATGATTGACTTGTTTTATGTCAGGGTTAAATAAGAAATTAAGAAGTATTGGCTTTGCATCTTCCTTTTTATTCTCATATCAAAGAACCCCCCTATTCTGTGCAAAAATGGTAACAATCAACAGAGTAAAAAAAAAACCTATGGAATGGGGGTAAATATTTGCAAACCATATGTCTAATAAAAGGGTTCATATTCAAAATATTAAGGAACTCAAACAACACAATAGCATGAAAACAAATAACTCAATTAAAAAATTGGATAAGGACCAAAATAGACATTTCTCAAAAGAAGCCATACAGATGGCCAACACATATATGAAAAAGTGCTCAACATTATTCATCATCAGGGAAATGTACATTAAAAAGACAATGAGGTTTCACCTCACACCTGTTAGAATGACTGTTATCAAAAAGACAAAAGTGTTGGAGATGATATGGACAAAAAGGAACCCTTGTATACTGTTGGTGGAAATATAAATTAGAACAGCCATTGTAGAAAACAGTATAGAGGTTCCTTTAAAAATCAGAAAGAGAACCACCATATCCAACAACCCCAATTCTGAACATTCAGTCATTTGACACTTATGAATGGAAATACATTCTGAGAAATACATTATTGGACAATTTCATCGAGTGTAATTACACAAATCTACGTGGTACAGTCTACATACCTAGGCTCTATAGTAGTCTCTTGGGCCTAGCCTATAAACTTGTGCAGCATGTTACTGGACTGAATAGGCAATTGTAATACAAGTATTTGTGTTTCTAAACACAGAAAAGGTTCAGTAAATAATAGTCTAAAAGATAAAAAGGGGTACACCTGTATAAGACACTTACCGAGAATGGAGCTTACAGGACTGGAAGTTGCTCTGGGTGAGTCAGTAAAGGGGTGGTAAGTGAATGTGAAAGCCTAACATACTACTGGATACTACTGTAGACTTTATAACTGTACACTTAACGCTACACTAAATTTACTAAAAATATTTTCCTTTCTTCAATAAGAAATTCACCTTAGCTTCTGTAACATTTTTAATTTATAAACTTCTACATTTTAAAAACATTTTTGACTCTTGTAATAACAGCTTAAAACACACTTCACACAATTCTACTAAAATATTGTTTCTTTATATTCTTATTCTATATGCTATTTTTAATTTTTTTACTTTTAAAATTTTTGTTAAAAACTAAGACACAAGCACACACATTACTCTAGGCCTGTGTGGGGTCATGATTATCAATATCACTGTCTTCTACCTCCACATCTTTTCCCACTGGAAGGTCTTCAGGGACAGTAACACACATATAGTTGTCATCTCGTGATAAGAATGCCTTCTTCTGGACTACCTCCTGAAGGACCTGGTCACCTGAGTCTATCTTATTGTTAGCTTTTTTTTTTTCCAATAAATAAAAGAAGTATACTCTAACAATAAATAGTATAGTAAGTACATAAGCCAGTAAAGTAATCATTTATTATTATTATGTACAATACATAATTATATGTGCTGTACTTTTTAGGACAGTTTGTTTACACAAGCATCACCATAAACGTGAGTAATATGGCTACAACATCACTAGATGATGGGAATTTTTCAATTCTATTACAATCTTATGGGGCAATTGTTGTATACGTGGTCCATCATTGACCAAAACGTCCCTATGCAGTGCATGACTGTATATCTAAAGGAAATAAAATCAGTATGTTGAAAACATATTTACACTCCCATGTTTACTATACCGTTATTCACAATAATCAACATATGGAATCAACATAAGTGTTCATCAAGGGATGAATGAATAAAGAAAATGTGGTGTACACACACACAATGAACTTTTAACCTTCAAACAGAAATCTTGTCATTTGTGACAACATGGGTGAAACTGAAGGACATTATGGCAAATGAAATAAGCCCAACACAGAAAGATGAATATTGCATGATCCCCTGTTATTATTATATGAAATAATAAGGGTTTGGGGTAGAATTATTATTAGTGGATTAGAATGCATTGGCTATATTTTTTATCCACTCTCCTATAACCCATAGTGACATTCATCAGATCGTTGGCTGGAATTCATTTCATAATCTGAAAGCTTGCAGCTTTTACCACTTGTGCAAAGCAGATTGATCCAGATTAGAATTGAATCTACTGCACTATGTTCTGAAAAGTTGATCTAGCAGGGATAGATGTGTGTTAAGATATGAAATAGTCACAAAATTGCCCTTACAGAATATTATTTTTGCACACGTTTCCACACTCATGAAAAAAAGTGTCTATGTAATCTACAGAATTTTCACTGAAAATGGAGAAATAACTGTATGAGAAATAGCCAAAGTACCAAATTTTTCATTATCTGGAGCTGTATTTGTTTTGTACACAACAGCATTCTTTTTGTTTGTTTTGTTTTTGCAAGATAGACACTTTTGGTTTATTGTGGCTGTTCAACTACATGTTTACAGAGATGTACCTCTATGTTTCCTGAACCACCTACCATTGATTTTGCACACTAAGCAGTCTGCTATGTTTCCTAACATTTTATATTCTTTACTGCTGCATTCATGCTTCAAATTAGATTTCATTCTTTCTTTGGATATTTCTTCTGCCTATGTGATTGCTTACTTAGGATCACAGTAAAGCAAATACTTGCATAATTTTAAGGTCACCCACAGCTTTTACAGCATTAGGCACTTCAATGTCTATGGGATTGCTATGCTCATGACATTATCATGACATTAATGTTCAGTCATAGCACACAGATTGTCCATTATGCAGAATCTTAACTTCAGATAATGTAAAGCAGATTTTCCTCATGCTTACTGAAGATTCTTTGGGATATTTCATAGCATTTGTAAAATATTTTAAAACAATAACATTAATGTTATTATTTATATGAGAAATAAATTTGGTTTTCTTCTTAAATTCATCCATTTATTGTCTTCTTTTAACAAGGGAAGTGAAAATCATACTCACTTTTCTTCGTGTGTCTTAAAAAATCAAGCTTTAAAATTATTATTATTTTAGAAGTTTGTTCTAAGAAAATTAACTTTGATGGAAGATGAGCTCAGGTGATCAGGACATGGATTCAGGTGTACTTGGCATAGCAGTTCATTAACTATGTGTTAATTATGTATGATTACTCCTGAAAATCTATAGTGGCTTCATCTTTTAGGTTGCTGCATTAAATCATTAATTTTCTTGGAGGTAACTAAGCCTGACATAATTAAGTTATCTTAGTCTCCACAGGTTTTTATCTTCCTATGATGTCAGGAACACTGAGCAAGTTATAATAAGGCATTGTAACTTATTCCCTGTATGTATTGACTTTATATTTTAGGATTATATAATACTGTTTTGACATTCTTAAGTAATCTAATAAATGTATGCCTTTTAATTATTTACTTAATGTTTTATCATAGATTGTGTACTTCTTATGTAATAACCCATTTATGTATTTGAACCACTTCTTTTACCAACAGTTCTTTGACCCCTGGCTACACAAAGCTGCTTCAGTTTATCCAGAACATCATTTATGAGGAAGGATTTGATGGATCCAATCCTCAGGTATTAAATAGCTTCAAAGTCTTTTATAATTATTTATATAATGTTGTTTTCAAATTCTCTGGGGGGGGGGGCGGGAACCCAGAAGTTTTAGAATAATAAACAGTGAACAAGCTGTTTTCAAGCACAGAACATGTACATAAGCAGAGCACAAGCAGCCTTAGTTTGACTGTTACTGTGTATTTAGAGTTTCAGCTAAGTTCTCAGTGGAGGCACATAAGACATACACATACTTTATCAACATCATTTTTAAATATGCATTTGTAGCATTTGGGATTAAGTAGCTGCATTTTGAGAATTACTTTTAAATCTGCAAGGCTTGTACTTTTCTATTTAAATTGTTCCTGTTTCTGACATTCAGGCCTTATTTCAAATTACCTTATGAGTAAGAATTATGTTAAGATTTTATTGTATTATACTTTGTTTTATTGAATTAAAAATACATTTTTATTTGCCATATTAAATATTTTATAACAACGATTTCTCTGTAGCTCTAATTTTTAAAACTTCCTCCAAATTTCCACTAATAAAGATGTTCTGGTTAGTTTAGCTTAAACAAAGTGAGGAAGATTTTATTTCTACATATCATGCCTTTCAAAATTCTTCCACAGTGATTTTAATTGCTTTTGCTACTAAATGATTTGCATTACATTTGTATTATTTTAGCAGAAGTATTTCTAAAGCACCATTATTTTTATTGAAGAAGACAGAGAAGCTGAAAGTCTTATTTTTGGCACTATCAGCTACATTTGTGCTCAACTCATGGATTTTTAAATATTCTTGTAAACTTTATTATTATATTTAACAGGTTTTCCATGGCAAAATAAATTATTTTTCATTTTGTTTTGATTGCCAGTTTAATTGCAGATTGGAAATACTTATGTGTGTATGATAAAGTACAGTCATTTATTTATAGGTGACTTTTCATGTATGTCATAATTTTTGTGACGGCCTTTAGTATTTAATACAATTTTATTTTGCTCAGTGTTGCTCCATTTTTGGCCCTACCTAAGATTTATGGGTACTGTGTCTTTCCTTTGGTGCCAGTGCTTGTCTGGAGAGGTAAATTGGTCCCTGACAGACACCTATCCCCACTTGCTGTGGTAACTATGGAAACAGGCATGTCATAACAGTTCCAATGGTACAGTGTGCAGAGCTGCTCTTCTTGCAGGATGATGATGACACATCTTCTGAGAGTAAGAAATTTTATAGAATCCCAAAAGCAAAGGTAATAGCAAAAGGAATACACACACACACACACACACACACACACACACAGATATACCTTAAGAATCCTTAATAAGTAAGCTAGTATAGGAATAGAGTAAAACATTTGTTTTCTTAGTTGTTTATTCGATGATGAAAACACTATTTTCAAAAAACAATTTTTTTTTCACAGAAATTGATAGACACCAAACTGGAGCTGGTTTGGCTTTCTGAACCAGAGATTCTATAATTAATGACTTTTATAAAGATTAAACAGGGTTCAGGTAGACATTCCTATGGTGAATACCAAAACTTTTTAAATTAAAATATACCAATACGTTATTATAGAAATATACTTACAATTTTATTGCAACTAAAATATAATGAGTTTTCTTATCTTTAAATTAATTGTACTGTTTGCTAAATTACTTAGTATATATATCTGTCTCAGAAACTTCAGATGAGTTCTAGAAGCCAGAGAAATACGCCTATAAGGCACTACTTCAAAAAATATTATTCCTAAGTCAAAAATAATGTTCTGACATTGAAATAAATGTTACATTTTTAAAGAAAGTTTTTATCTTTTTTTTAACGTGTTTTCAAATAAACAACTAATTTGAGACAGCATATAGAAATAGACTCTAAGGAACAGAATATTGTATACTACCTTATAATTAGCCTTGGTAGTAAGTAAAGTAGTGTAGCTCATCTGTAAAAATAATTAGAGTGCAGACATTTACAAATTGCGGTCATAATTTCATTTAAGTTGTTATTTTTAAATATCTTAGAAATATATGATAAAAATGAAATTTGAACATGGATTTTACTTAGAATACCAGATTAAATATTTTGGATGTTCTCGTAGGAATAAAACTATTTATTGTACAGCTACAAGGTTCTTTTTTTTAATCTTATGCCACACAGTATGCCCCATTATTATATGGCATAGCAAAGGAATTATATATCCTAAAGGACACAAGAGATTTATAGTTCAGCCTTTGTTTTTGCAATTACCATTATATTTTTTAAAATATAAGTGAAGTATTATGTTCAATTATATCTGTTGTGCTGGGTACCCACCTCACTTAAATATCTTATCTCTCATTCATTTTTTGGCTTAATATTTTCATTCACTTGATATACATATATCAGTGTATCTGTCAGAGTCATTAAACCTCTGTAGTTCTCCTAATTTCATACCTAACAGCATTTTTGTTGTAAACTTTTGTCAAGTACTTTTTAATACAATAATAGATAATGGGACAGTGGGTTAAAATACTGTTGATCTTTAGTTTCTGAAATGTTAACAGAGAAAACAATATTATCCTGCTCTCCTTTTACCTTTGCGTTTCATTGTACTATCTAGATTTTTTTTTTTTTTTTGTATGTTTCTCTCCCTTTTTCCAGAATGCTCTTTCTGTTGGGAATCTAACATGTTTGTTATCATGAGATAACAAATTTAGAGATAGCAAAATGAACTTTAAATTCTTGCCATTTTACTTAAATTCTGAGGTTTTAAATAATAAAGAAAAAAGAATAACCCATCATATTTTACAGATATCTTACACTAATTCACCAGAAATGTATTTATACTTCTAACCTAAGCCCTGGTACATCTCATTACTTCATTTCATTCAAGTAATGCAGAAATAAAAAGAAAACAATTTTTGTGGACCATTGAGGATGATAACATAGGGTGTCTTAGGTGGTTGTCTATCATAACTTTAACACAATCATTTAAAAAATTGAACCAGCTGCCTACATAGTACAATCATGTTTTAGGTCCTTAGAGTCAGGAAGTTTTTTTCTAATGTGCTTATTCTAAAATCCTTTTTTTTTTTTTTTTTTATAATTTCATTCTTATAGTCTTATCCAGGCCATTATATCCCTTCAATTGTATTGAATTATAGAGCAACAATGTTATCTTCTCTCCTTTTCATTTTTTTTTTTTAATGGAGTCTCACTCTGTCACCCAGGCTGGAGTGAGGTGGGGCAATCTCAGCTCCCTGCAACCTCCGCCTCCCAGGTTCAAGCAATTCTCCTGCCTCAGCCTCCCAAATTGCTGGGACTACAGGTGCGCACCACCACACCCAGCTAATGTTTGTATTTTTAGTAGAGACAGGGTTTCACTACGTTGGCCAGGCTGGTCTCAAACTCTTGACCTTAGGCGATCTGCCCTCCTCAGCCTCCCAGTGTGCTGGGATTACAGGTGTGAACCACAGCGCCTGGCTTCTCCTTTTAATTTAAAATGAATAAAACTGGCTGGATGCAGTATCTAACACCTGTAATCCAAATACTTTGAGAGGCTGAGGCAGGAGGATTGCTTTAGTCCAGCAGTTCAAGGTCAGCCTAGGCAACATAGCAAGACCCTGTCTCTACAAAAACAATAAAAGAAAAATTAGCTAGATCTGGTGGCACATGCACGTAGTCCCAGCTACTCTGGAGGCAGAGGTGGGAAGATCACTTGAGCCCAGGAGTTCGAGACTACCATAAGCTATAGTAAGGCCACTGCACTGCATCTGGGTAACAGAGAAAGACACTGTCTCAAAAAAAAAGAAAAAAGAAAGAAAGAGAAAACAAAGTCCTAAGTAATGTGTGTGTCTTGTCCAGAATCATACATCTTCTTAGTTACATAGTCCTGACTGTAATTCTCTCTTATTCATTTACTAGCTTATGTTCCTTTAGGCTTTCATCTTCTAACATTTCAGTGTTGTATTCATTTTTCTTCCTTTCCATGGTCAATAAATTCTGCTTGAAAAAGAAATACACAAATTCAGTTTTCATTTGTAATATCAGGGAAATAGATATATTGTGTTAGACAATAACTAGTTGGTTAATAAATTTTATCAGTGGTATTTTATAGCAATAGCAAGTGATACATTTTAGGAATTTGTTTCATCAGAAATCACTTGTAGAGTAGCATGCATTCCAAATTATGGCTTTAAGAGCAAACTTACTTTTCCCATCAATTCTAATAATGAATTTTCAATTATTTGCACATGCCAGGTTTTGTTAACGCCTTCTTCTTTTGCCCAGAAATTTTGCTGAATTTCTAAGGAAAGTATTTACAAAACATTTATTTAGTTAGAATAACCCAAACAGTAGAATTTATTATAAACACATCTGTTGTTAAATGTTTATTCACAGTGATGTATTCACAGTTTAATTAATAGTTTTTAAATGTTCTTTTCCCAAGAAATACAGTCACTTATTGTGACCTTACTGTCAGTAGGCTCAGGTTCTAAATGTTCACCTGTTAAATTTTACGAAGAGTGTTGAACTTAAATTATTACTTTAAGAGCAGCTTCAAGAAGAAAAACCAGAGGCAAATGTAAAATATAAAAACAAAAAGTCATATATCTTTAAGCTTTTTTCAAAGAAAAGATCAGGCAGTAGGTAGGATAAAATTAAATGAGAAATATTGAACAATTTATAGTTTACTGAAAGAATTTTCTAATACTGAGAAGGGGTTTGCAAGCATTCTAGTTTAGATTTCATCATTATTATCTGTTTTGTTAAATATTTTAAGTGCATTAAATATAATTCTTAGAGTTGTTGCTGTTAAAATTTAGATACAATTTAAAGCTTAAGGCTTATGATACTCTTCAGATTTTTCAAAAGTTAAAGTTATTTTTTATAATCTTGTAATCTAAACAGTTTCATTTATACTGCTTTATGTACTAATAGTACATAAAAATTTTTAACACATCTATTGACATTGTCTCCCTGATGTTATAAAGATAAGAACTGACAGATAAAAGTGGTATTCTATTGATTAACAAAACTTTATATGTTTGCTTTTTTCCCACTTTCTTTTAGAAAAAACAGAGAAACATTTTAAGAATAGGAATTCAGAATCTTGGCTCACCTTTATGGGGAGACGATATTTGCTGTGCAGAAAATGGTGGCAACAGTCACAGCCTTACCAAGTTCCTCTATGTTCTCCGTGGTCTTCTGAGAACCTCTCTTTCAGCCTGCATCATCACAATGCCAACACATCTGATCCAGGTACGAAATTTCCAGAACTACTTTTTCATAATTCATAGTAATATAGTATGACATTGTGGTTTTAGTTTGCATTTCCATGATAACTAATGATGTTGACCATCTTTTCAGGTGCTTTCTGGCCATTTGCATGTCTTCTTTTGTCTGTCTTTTGTCCATTTTTTTATTGATAGTCTCATTATCAATTTGTAAAGTTCCTTGATATTTTAGCTACAACTTGGTAATAATTTTCCTCCTATCTATGACTTGCTTTTTCTATTTTCTTAACAGTGTCTTTTGAAGAGCTAAAGTTTTCAATATTGATGAAGTTTAATTTATAAATTTTTTAATGGTTAGTGGTTTATCTCCCTCACACCTCCAATCTTGACAGTCTTTTTCTCTTGTGTTTTCTTCCAAACATTTTATAGTTTTTTCTTTTACTAATGAATCAATGTATTTCCATTTGAATTTTTTCTACAGTTTTAGTTCATGTTCTGAAACAGCTTTTAGTTTCTTTAATTAATATTCTAATGTAAAGTATATGTTAATATTAGTATAGTTAAGTACATATTGTCTGCCTCAAGCATGTGATTTCATATAATCTTATATATCTAATACATTGTAGTCTCCATAGAGGGAGGGCCTGATATTTATACTTTTCTTTATAGGCTTTATGGTAATAACATAATATTAAACGTGGTTTTAAAATTCTTAACACAGTACCTAGGCTTTTCCTAGATATTCAGTAAATGTTAAATGAATATTGAATCTTTATAAAGTTATGTAATCTTAGTATCTCTGTTCCAACATACCCAGACCCTACCTGCAAATAGCAAATTTATTAAAATGACATTTAGTTACATTCATTATATACAGCATATATAGCAAATATGACTGAAAAGTGTGACAAATGAAAAGTGAATTTAGCTAGATGCAGTGCCTTACACCTGTAATCCCAGCACTTTGGGAGGCTGAGGCAGAAGGATCACCTGAGGCAAGAAGTTCAGCCAGGGTAACATAGCAAGTCCCCATCTCTACAAAAAATTAAATTAAATTTTAAAAGAAGTGAATTTGGTCTCCTTGGCCAGTAGAATTTATTTATTTATAATGGGCAGCAGAGGATGATTCGGTTTTCCTTGAAGGGCTTTTTATACATTGTATCTGGACCTAAATTATTATTATTAGTTTACAGTTGCAGACATATCATAAGGAAACTCTTTTCTCTAATCATGCTAGACATTGTATACATACTTGTATTGCTTTCATTGTTAATAAGTTATCATAAATTTAGTACTCGAATAATAGTTTGGGTAGACCTGGTGAGCTTTTTATGATAAATAAACATGAAACAGACTTATCAGATACTGGTGAAAATACTACTACTTATACTACTACTACTACTGTGCTGTTACTACAACTATTTATTAGCCATGTACTACATCCCAAGCACTTTACAAGTATTATGTCCTTGAATCTTCAGTGCTACCCTGTGAAACAGATAGTTTTTACCTCTGTTTCCATAGGGTCACCCAGTTAATAAGTAGCAGGCCAGTGTTCTTCCCTGACTTCAAACCTTATCACCCTCACCATTAGGTTATATGGCTTCACTAATCATCACAAAAACCCTGCAAGATAGCTGTGATTTCACCCTTTGCAAAGACAACTATACTGAAGTTAAATGATTATCCAATATCCCATATCTGTTGTACATTTTAAGCTGCTATTCAAGCTCGGATCTGGCTAACTCTAAAATTTAAACTCTTTACCCTCTGTCACACTATATCCTATGTGTCCTGAATTATTAACTACCTTTGATGACACTAAGTTTCTATTAGGAAAAAAAAGTTACTGGCTAACATTGTAATTATTCCATATTTATTAAGAGAAAATTATTATTGTAAAATATTTGATAAATTAGTACATATAAAAGATTAAACAAAAAGTTCCATTCTAGACAAGAGAGAAAAAAGATGAAAATATGCTTCCTTTTGCATAATTGCAAAGCAAAGAAAAACAATCATGAAAAAAATATATGTACATATGTAACTTTAAATTTTATTCCAAAGGGGCCTCTGTGAGAAAACAGAAAGAAAGAAAAGGGAAACACTTTTTTAAAGCCATTTTGTTGGTGAGCATCTTTATTACTTAAGGAAGAGATTCCCATTGCGGATTTCTGTGACAGTGAATCCTGTACCCTCTGTTTAAGGGAACAGCAGATTCTATCAGATGACCTCCAATCAGCCTATCTAGATAACTGATTAAATAATGAGTGAATGATGTAGTGATCTGGATGTCTGAACCTGAAACAATATTTTAACTTTGATACTTTACAGGTATATTTCAGCCCCTGTATAACTGGAAGAGAGATTAAATTTATGCTTCTTAACATAGCAGTAAAGAGACTTCTTTGAAATAGACATAGCAAAATATAGGGTCAGATTTTGGTAATGAGTATAAAGTTATATAGTGTGACAAAGAATTAAGACATATTCCTCAAAACAGAGAATGTCTTTTTTTAAAAAACTGCACAACCTTCTAAAATTTTTCCAATTTTCAATCTCTCATTCCTAGACGATTTTGCAAAGTTATCATATAGTAGTCTTCTGGCCCTAATACCAATTGAGTTATAAAAAACAAGTAAATTTTCCCTTGCTCTTTGAACATAATGTCTGACCATATATTTGTTTTTATATGAAAATGTTTAGGAGAAAATATAAAACTTGTACTTGTTCAAACCCATCATTATATAAATATGAAGTAAAACTTTTAAGAACTTTTAAAGTCTGTCAAGGAAAATCAGTCTTTTGGCTAAGGAAAGAGAATAAGAATTGCAAGCAGTATGCTTAGAAAGGTAATCAAAGATGTACGAATACATATAACCAGGGCACTGTGAGTTTATTTAATAAAAAGTTACGTGGTGATTACTATGGGCCAGTTGCAGTCCTTAATGCTTTTCAAATATCAACTCATTTAATTCTCATAATAACCCTGTATGGTTGGTACTGTCATTATCTTTTCCCAAGATCACACAGCTAATGAGTGGCAGACTTTAGACTTAAGTAGTCTACCTCCTATTACCATAATCTTAACGCCACTGTGCTGTGCTACTTGTTCAACCTAGATACTAGAGTCAAAATTTAGAAACAAACTGCACAAAGTACCATTCGATGATAGAAAGAACCTGGGATCTTAGAGGCAGATGGATCCAACTAGTTTCATAGTCTTAGTCAAGTCTTAATTTTTTCAGCCTCAGCTTCATCTGTGAAAATGGAGCAAAAAGTATCCAGTGAAGAGGATTAGTAATAACATGTACTTAAACAGTGCTGGCACATAGTAGGCATTCAATATATGTTAGCAGTTGTCATCTTCACTATTATTACTTAAACAGATCTCCAAAATTGAGGATTTGAACAGAGATCAGGCTACAAAAAATAAGATATAAAAGTCTATCAAAGCAATAGAAATCTCCAGCAGCCTCTTTTTATGAAAAACACTGACAGGATCTTCTCACAGGTTAGGCCTGAGACAGACCAGGAGGCATAGATAAAGTCAGTTGGCCATCCAAATATTAGTAGCATCACCATGTTGTAACAAGACTCTTTAAACATCATTCATCAACTTCCTGTCCACTATGACCAGTGCCACCTCTGGAGATTGTAAGTTAGGGTTTAAATGGTGATTGAATGACTGTGGGTAAGTTAGCTTATACACTTATTTAACAAATAATGCAGGCACTGTTCTAGGCACCCATAGGGATACAGTAGCAAACAAGACAAACAAGATTCCTATTCACATGGAACTTTTTCAACAATGTAAAAGATAGGATGGAACAGAAAAGTAGTATATGTGAGTATATGAATACTTGAGCTTGGGGATGGTAGTAGAGTGGTTTCGGGCAGAAGTAGAAATGTAGTTGGATATCCTTGAAAATTTTATCATACATATAGTTGGGTATGTATAGATAATAAAATTGTGATATCTTTATTTGAGTGCATTATATAAATTAATATTAAAGGTACTTTGTATAAAATATCCTTATTTCTTGAATTGTTAAACCAGCCAATCGGTGTTCTTACTTTAGTTATTAGCATTCTGTCAGACTTGTATAGTAATGATTAGTTACCCTTTATTGTACTTTTGGCATGCTTCCCATGTTTAATTTCATTGTAGGGGAAAGAACACATAGTTAAGGAAATTGCAAAGAGAGGGAAAAGTTAAAATAGGGAAAATAATGACATAGATTCAAAACTGATTTTAACTTATTGTTATAATAAGACTTTTGTGAGTAGAATGAAGAAGACTTATTTTTTAATTTGCATTTGAAATGTTTTATGTTCAGTCCCACAACTTTGAACTTGAAATTTCTTATTTCCTTCAGGTTGAAGATTATTTTCTTTAATGCCACAGGAAAAAAATGGCAAGCATACTTTGGAACGAGTATATAAAAATAAATTCTAAATATCTGTTAAGAAAACACGAAAATTGTTCAACAAATATATTATGAATGTCTTAAGTGTATATGCATATAATCTTAAACAATTTTCCCTTTGAAGTAATATTATTACTCATATTGTCTCTTGATAGAATATAGTTTTAGTATCTGCCCAAAGACATTGAACTAAAAATGTGTGTGAAAATGGCTAAGTTAAGTACAGACTTTGTTACATGCTGAACTGTGGAGTAAAGTGTCATTAGAAGGAGCAGAACTATGGACGGCTCCCCTATATTCCAGCATTACTCAGTTCCCAGATCCCTGCTGTGTAGTTGTTCCACTCGCCAAGAAGCCTGTTAAAGAGCCCCCAAGAGCATGTGTACAGCCCTCCATGTTAATAGTTAATTGGTGAGGATGGCAAGATGAGAGGACAGCCGAACATGTGGTCTCTCAGACTCAAGCAGTAGACAGACCTTTAGTTATAATAACAGCAGCTGCTCACATTCTCACAACTCAACTGTTCAAAACTCTGTTGTTGAATGAAGGAGGTTGTCGTGGATTGAAAGAAGAAAAAAAGAAAAGGTTACTTCTAAGAAAAGTAACTAAAACACTATATTTAAACTCTTCCTACATATTATTATAATTATAAGAATATTATTGCAACTTTTAAAAACTTTGGTGTAAATACCCATATTAAAGGTTATTATATTTTGGCTACACTCAGCATTGTGCTGCTTGTCCCCCTTTTACTGTTAGAAACAGAAATGTTTTTGTACCCTTTGAAACTTTTTAATGAGTTATCTTTTTCTTTTGCAAAGTGGTAACTTTAAAGCAGTTACAATAGGATACTGTTTGACTTCCATATCTAGCAAGATATGAAACAATAATTTGTTGTTCTGTAAATGGGAATTGGCTTACCACTAGCAAAATTTGTCATCCACCTCCAAATTATGCAAACATTTTGTGGCTTTTGAAAATAGGTAATTTTATTTTCAATTCCCAGTAACAGTTGTGTGCTTCAAGAAATGGTGACCAATAACACTTATTCTTTTTGGAAATAGAAACTTAGTTTTGTGCCTTATGATGATTTTATTAGTGAGGTGAAAAGAAAATAAATTTCCCCTTGTTTATGCATTTTTTAGTATAATCTGTGGCAAGTTGTTTTTGATTTGTATTTTTTAAGGCACTTTTACCTAAAACTGTCAGGAAATAAATATTGAAACACTTAAACTAATTAATAAAATTAGAAATGGAGAAAGTTGTCTTATACCATTCTCACAGCATTTTTTTCAAAAAGAAAATTTACTTATTATTGCTAATCTTTATTCAAGCTGTCATAGTCTGCACTTTTAAGGAATTTTAAAATATAAACAACAATAATGCAAGAATGAAAACTCCTTTGACATTCTGGATCATAGAATATGTCAGTATGTTTTTTTCATTGTATAATAATTTTAAGTATTGCCAGAGTTTAATGTACTTGTCTAGAGAACAGTAGTTGGTAAACTATTTAGCTTTCCTTTATTCAACCAAATTTCAGATTTGAAACTAGCCTATAGCATATTTTCATTTGTCATCATTGACACTTGATCAATTAATAGCCTTATTCAATTTTTGTCATATACCCACTGTTTTATAATAATTTGATCTGTAGAATTTTTTCCCAGCTATCTCATTGAAGAAAACTATTACCAGCATGTTAGCTTATACCAAGGAAAATTCATTTTCTGACGAAAAGGAGGGAGAAAGGGCCTTTTTAAAATATGTCTCTTGAAAAATGAATGAGATTTTATTTAGTGTGTTATTTTAATTGATGTGTTTTCAAATTAATCTTCTATAACATTAATGTATTAGAGCTTTGAACCTACTGAAGTGAATGATACAGTATGTTTCTATGTAGAGAAATTCAGAACAAACCTTTTCACATCCATAAACTTTTTTGTTCATGCTGAGTATTTTAGCAGCTAAACTCTAAGTCTAGCAATGGACCGCTTTAGAACTAACCACTAATATGGGATTATGAAATGTGGACTCCAATGGCCTTGTGAATTTCTCTCAGTGTGAAATCTTTTATTCTTAAAACAAGAACTAAGAATAATTGCATGGTGAAGAAAAATATACTTTTGTGAGTTTACAGCTATAAATTTTGGGAAAATATTTTTTATCTAATTGTTGATCTAAGCATAACACCACCTTCAGTCATCTAACTTTATTTCAAATGATCTTTTTAAATGCACTTTATTAAGAAGAATAGTTAGGGATGAAAATTACAGATTAATCTCTTGATCATAGCTACAGTTACTAAAGGATAAAGCCAGATATTCAGAGTGTCATTTTTTATGAATTCTTTTCTTAATCAGAATATTCTTAACTGAGAATCTGCCTTTAATGTTTTCAGATCTTCTTAACGACTCTGAAATTGATTATAAGAAATTTACGTATTTAAGAGTTTAAAAAGAAGCAGTTTTTAAAATGAACTAAATTATATTATATCCATTTCAGTTTTACATCATATTTATCAAATTCCAGTGACTTTGTGTCAGTATAGTAAGTTGTAAACAGAATCTGTTTTTCTTTAAAATAACAAATAGTCTGTGTTTCAGTCCTTCTACCATAGACTTTGGACTTATAATTCTTACAGCTCAAGCTTTTTTTCTTGTTTCAGACTACACATGCTGATACCCGGTTAATTTTTAAAGTCACATCATAGCTTGTGTGCGTTATACGTATATATTTAATTTACTTTTTTGGACAAGGATGATTGAAACTTTTTACACAAACTCTAAATTATCTATAAAGTTCTGTCTATATTAAGCATAGTAGTATATGTATAACTTTGTCTTTGTGTAAATATGCATATTGAATAAGAACAGGATATATTTTAAATCGTCAGTAAGGATATATTTTAAATTGTCATTTTCATCTTTAAAAGAGAAGTACGATTCAGAAACCTTTCATTACACTTAATCTAACCAAAACATATTCAGTAAACCATAAAAAAAATTTGGTTTAAAATATTTTTCCTTTCTCTAAAATAACTTTGTGATGTTCTTGTTCATACTGTTATTCATTCTGTAGTTCCTATAATGGTAGTAGTTATTAGCTAAAGGGCTATTTAGGGCCAAACTTTTCAAATGTATCAATGATATAAATAGTGAAATGTCTCATCACGGTATGGAGATTGAGTCATCTGTTTGGACATATGGAATCTTTGGCTGCTGGACTGCATCATCTTTATAATGCCCAGTGTCCAAGGATGGACACAACTGTTCTGGGAGCAGAAGGGGGTGTGGGGAGCCCTGTGTGTTCAAGCTACATGAATATGGTAGGAGAAAAAGAGGGGAAATGATCTTTTACATTATTTTTATCATAAACTATCTTCTATATCACTTTTTGTGTATAGAAAACAAGTACAACTTTATTTAATTTTTCATTTATTTTACAAATAAAATTACTAAATTTTTTTCTTTGGCATTGTAAGATATCTGAAAAATACCTGTGAGAAAACATGAGTTTTGAATTATTCCTATTTATATACTTGGTTACGTACTTTCCCTTAAAGAAAGATTACCGTCATCAAATGTGAATGATACTTATTTTTTAATGTTGAGACCAAACATGCTTGTAAACAATTACAATTTAAAGCTGTTTAAGTACCACGTCAGATATTATGTCCTAGTGTTATGTTTTATCCCTTTCCTATTAATTACATTATTATTGCTATATGAAGAGTTCTTGCTTCTTTAATAATGTTTTCGCACCCTATGTAGTTAATCTTTAATGTTGGGAAGGACAGGGGAGAGATTAAATTAGGCTTGTAACCTCTTTTTCTTCCAGGCTGATGATAGAAAATAAAAGCTCTTAGCCACAAAATGTAACACTTAGAATTAATATTTAATTAGACTAGCAAATTGTACACTGTGGCTGAAAGCTTCCAAAGAGTTGTTAGTGCCACAATTGACCTACAGGTTTAATAATAACTCACTTCTAGAAGCAAGTGCCAGTTCAGCATAGTAGAGCCACTGTAAGAAAGTCCTGAGAGATTAAAATCAGCAAACCAAATGGCAGGCAAGGATTCCTGGGATGGAGCCTTCTGGAAAGCTGGGAGCTGGAATAGCTTTTAAGCCAGGATTCAGATGAGAACAGTGGGTGAAAAAGCTGATCCCTCCTGTTCTGGGAGCTTCTGGTTGTAGGCCAAAATCTTAGAACAGATTTTTACTAAATGTTTTTGCTGCAGCTATTAACTTACATTGAAAATCAAATATTGAATAATTTTTCTGTAAAATTTAGCAAACTTTTTGTGTCAACATTAGTTCTTAATTTCTTACATATTAGTACATAATATCTGTAAACTCAGATCATTAGATTATCAGATAGGTTTGGCGCTGTACATCTATGCTGTTTTGCTGTGACATGCTGTTTCCTTGTTCCCTGTATAGTTGATTTATATGGTTCATTTCTATATTATTTCATTACGGGGCATTATGCAGAGCCTGAGAAAGAGATTGTGAAGTCTGTAGCCCAAGAATTTTTTTTCTTCAAGAAAGTGTATATATCAACAAACATAATTCAAAGGCATTCTTAATTTTTAAAGGCCTTATATTATAAAAGCAATGCTATATTTTATGTTTATGATGCACTTAAATTACAAGATAAATAATTTGACCTCCTGGTGAAACATTGGATCTTTATATTTTTGCCAAATTGATCTGGTGAAAATAAGACACCCTGAGTTTGAAAATGCGCAGACTGAAAGGGGGGCACCTTACATAATTTATTGATAGTATCTTAAATAATTAAAGAAAAGCTAGTCATTTGTTCAAAATTCAAGCAGGTGAGGACCTTGCCAGCAGAGGGAGTAGTTCTGTCTTCCGTCAGGTTCCCATCATTTTCCCACCTGCCTCAGCCTTTTTCCCAGCCAGTCTCCCATCTGGACCTGGCTCTTGTCAACCTGCTCCTGATGACAGGCTATAATTTTATACTCAATATGGGATTATTCTAAGCTGATTTTAAACTTTAGTATCTTTAACCTGCTACTGCATCACAAACATCAGCTGGATGCTCTGTTTGATATTTGGATATTAGCAATTGTTTTTCAAGGCAGGGCGTGAGCTTTTGGACATCTGTGAATTGCATTTTAGGGTTTCAAGTATCAAAGTACTAAAAAAAGATTTCTGATTTAGGAAGTTTCCCATAAAACATTTTTAATCATGAAAGACAAATTTTTCTGTGGGTAGATTTCTTAATATGAAACTAGATGTATAGTTAAGAAAAATGCCTACAATTAATTTTGAATATTATACCATTATTCTGTCCAGCCTATTCATTTCAGTATTTTGTTCATCCCATTTCTGACTTTTCAGAATATGTAAGTTTTTGTAATGTTTTATAGAATAACTTACTGAAAAAGAAACAAAACTAATATAAATAAATGTTCTGCAAAGTATGTTTATTTGAATATTTGAAGCCAGTGTAAATATAATATAAACAATATTTCTGAAAGTAAAACAATGTGTTCTTAAAAAAAGTCTCAATTATAAAGAACCAATATTTTCATATCAAAATTTAGAATATTGAGTATTTGACCATGTAGAAAACACAAAAAGTTGTGGCTCCATTGCCTATTCCTAGTAAAATTTGATATCTTAGCAGTTTTTTTCACCATCAAGGTTAGGAATATTTGCCATTAGCCCCTTTGTGGATACGTTTTGAGCTTTAGGATAAAGAACCAAAATATGTTTGTTTTACAGTTTTCCTATGTGAATATTACTATATGATGCTAGGCAGATAATGTTACATTTAGAATTTTTTTAATTTACAGAAGTTCCTCTGTATTCTAAAATTAACCATGACTTGAAGTTCCGTGTTAAATCTGGAAAGATTTAATCTAATACCGTCATCAGTTTATTACAAATATTCTAAATTTCATGATTATGAACAGAATTATTTTCCCACTATCAAATATTTTTTAATAAAATAAAAATCTAATCCACAGAAGCAAGTGACAACTCTGGAGGAAGTGGGACAAGTTTGTAAAAAGTTAAAAATGTAGTATAAATAACTTTTTATTATTTCACAGTCTTGATTACTGTAGAATGGAAAACCTAATAAGCATGGAAAAATAAATGTCTTATTAAATATCCCCATATTTATCCTTGGATCCAAGCTTATTTTTTGGATTACAGAACAAAGAAAGGTCTTAAGTTCTCCTATATTCATGTTCTCTGCATATCATTTTTCAGAAAATGTTATAAATTGAACTGTTGATTATGACATACTTGCTTTTCTTGTGGGTACTCCCCTCCCCGCTCTCTCCCAACACACAACCACTACATCATGTATTATGGTCAAACGTAAAGTAACTTAAATATTTATCTAAGTCTTCAAAATTAACTTAATAGTGCTTTCGGGCTATTATAGCCCCAAATCTGTTATTTGTGCCATACTCAAATGAGAGCTCTTCCTTTCATATTATTTTTCCTATCTTTCTTAAATAGTATAGAGTAACTCAGGAACTTGCTCTTACTTGAGGCGTTGCATAAATGCTTTATGTTGATTGATTTACCCCTTTCAAGCTTCTTGATAATTAAGTTATTGGTTAATTACTTCTTAATCCTCTTACTAAAATTTTTTCTGGAAATATATTTTGTGTTCGTACAAATTGCATCTTTTATACTGTTGAGATAATTAGTTTTGGGAAAATAAGGAAATATTGAGGGTTTAAGGTATTCTGATTGTTACTTGGTAACTCTAAGTAGATATCTGAACCATTTTTATTAGAAAATTGTAGGAGCTTTAAATGGCAGTGATTAAATTTTTATCTCTTAACAAAATTCATAGTTTTGACTTTAAGAACTTTGATCTGAAAGGGAGCATTAAATTAATCTTCCTTAATTTAAAATCCATTTAACAGATTTGTTTTACCCTAATAAAAAATGTATTACCATTGTATAATGGCAAACAGGAAACACTCTATGAAACCAAACAGAGAACAGTCAAAACAAATACTCTGAAGGTTTTTTTTTGAAATTAAAATTGAAATACAAAGGTAGAAGACTGGACAATCTGATTTGCTTTGCTTATTTGCAACACCATTTGACATATTTTAAATTTAAATGATTAATTAAATTATGTTGCAACAGAAAACTTTAAGAGCCCTTTATGTAACTTAATACAATGCTATTTGAGATTGCCAGCAAACTCTTAAAACTCCTGGACACTGGCTTTCCTCTCTTCTGGCTTCCCTCCTAGTCATGTCTTGGCTACTATCCAGAGCTGACAACTCTCACCCAGGAGCGCAGGGAGATTTGTCTAGGATAAGAAGGATTTTTGAGCCATCCTACATTTTAATATCCAGATGGGCAAGGAGGAGGGGTGGCAATATCATTGTACATACTTGGGTGATGTCATTATAACATACATACACCATAAGCATTAATTTACCCAGATTGGTGAATTCTGAATGTCCTTACTGAAATGTTCCGTACTGGAAACGATATTGTAACAACTTGAAAATTAATGCAAAGATTATGTTCAAATTTAAGTAATTGACGTACAAATGCCTCTACTTCTCCATTTCTATCTATTAATATATACTGAAGACCAAAGGGGTTTTACATCTTGGTGAATAACATAAAAACACTTGGAATCTGTTAAAATGAGAATATGGATGTTCCAGTTTCAAGGCCTCTGCTCAGATCATTATGCTAAAGCTTTCTGAACACTGCTGGTTATATTATGACAATTTATTATCCATAGTGTATTCCTGCTAAAGTGAATTGTGATTATTATGCTTTTATGGGTTTTTTAAGCTGTTAATTTTATATTCTTCTAAGTAAATTCACCTGCTTTTATCTAAAAGACCATTTAGTATTAATATTATTATTTGAAAGACTTTTTGACAAGAATGATTTTAAGGTAAGATTACATCAATAGACCATATTCCTTATGAAGCTTGGAGGTGCAGAAGTAATCTATAACAATTTTTTTAACTTTTTAAAACACATACGTTTATAAGCCCAAATATCTTTTATGCTCCTACACATAACTAGAAGGTTGAATAAGTTTATAGTAAAAATAAACATTTTCTCAGTCAGAAACTTAGATGTTATTCTTATGTAATTTCCATTGCTTTTTATTCTATAAATGTTTTTCAGATATCCCTACAACTTTCACAATTAATCTGGTCTGCCACATTATACAAATAATTTTGCAAAATAAATGTGCAGAAAGCAGTAAGATCACTGTGAAACTATATAACTAATTTTATGGTAATAGTATGATGAAAAATTATTCTTGTACTAATACTTTATGGAAGTTTTTTCAATAGACTCTTGTTTATAGTTAATGACTATGATGCAAACCTGTGAAACTTAGAAATATAATAAATGAAATACATGAATGAGTTTCTGGAAAATTGTGAAATCTAGGCTGTGCATATTTTTCAGTTAGAATTCACTAGTTTTCCCTTTCGAAGTGGATAACTGATTTTTTTAAATCTCCCACAAACTACCTTTAAAAGACTTATAAAGTTGATAAACATTATAGGATGTAAAATGGTTTATTAGTAAATGTTAAGATTAAATGAAAGAAGTAAATCCTCTTTGAAATAAGCAAATGTCAGGTTGACCATTTAAATACACAGTACTTTGCTTATGTACTATCAGAATGGAAATTTATCTCATCTTTAAACCTTGCAATTTCTGTTATTCATATAATTGAGAAAGTCCTAGTTTATATCACTGAAATCTTGAATAGATGAGTTCTAACAAAAATTGACTTGTATCATTTTAGTTTCAGATATTTAGATAAAAAGGCTTAGTCTTTTATTTATAGATAAAAGGAAATCTGACCTTTTGATTAAGAAATATTGTCAGTAGCCTTTATAAATGCTTGTTCATCTGAGGGTCCATGACAGGAGTACTCTTCCCAGTTGAGTTTATCCTAAAAATGAAATGATAAGAGCCTGCTGGTTATTATCCATGATTCTTCTTAATGGGGGAGCCACATGGTTATTCTTCATCTCCCACTTGTTCTCACCCTTTACTACCAACCCAGCCACACCCCACCCCCACCCCAACATTGTTCAGTACTCAGCACAATGAATCATTTTCAAGTTGACTCATTGTGAACTGTATCCCAGCTGTTGGAATGTCTGGCAGACATTTTTGTTTGGGTGAAGAATAACTGGCTGAAACCCAACCTGGATGAGTTTGATATAATGGTCTTTGGCTAAAGAAATATTGAGAGGAACATGTTTATGGCCTCTGAAGCCCCTGTTATTCCTGGAGTAGGACCATCCCCTGTGGCACAGAACTGAAAGTAAGGAATCAATCTGGATTATTTTCTCACCATTGAATGAAAAATTGCCTTAGAAAAAATAGGCATTTCCAAACTATGTTTTTCTATACTTAGTGTGCCCACGTGATTGAACATATTAAAGACAATTAAGAATAATTATTTTTACTGATTCTTTTTAACAACACTGATCCAAAGGCTGAAACATTCCTTGTATAATGCTGAAACATTCTTTATATAACACACATTCCAACTTATGAAGGAGTTTCAAATACTGCTCTAGGTGTGAGTTAACCAGTCATTTCAACAGAATGTTTGGTGACACAGGCTACTATGTGTTTCATAATACCAAGTCAGGTAACATTGACCAGCCCTCTTTAATTTTTCATTCTTAGGCCATCTTTATAAAGGGACTTAAGAAACAAGAATATTAGTAAGCTCAGTTGTAATCATGTTCCCAGAAAATGAAAATCTTTTATTATATTTGACCTCTTTCTAACAGGGGATATAGCAGGCTGATAAATTTTCTTGACTGTTTTATATTTCCCATTCTCTTCTTCAAAGATTAGTTTTAAACTGGTGGGCATTACCATTGTATAAAATGAGAGTTTCAAAATTGCAAAATTTTACAAAAAACATTTTCAGCTTATCTAGATCTGCCAAGCAAAAAATTGTCTAAGACATCATAGCATATAATCACAGTTTTCTAATCTACCACCCTGTCAGGGGCTAAAAGGAATACTAGATTTCCAGTAATTAAAGAATTAAAAAAAAAAACCCTACCAGATATTTGATGATTATATTCTTATAGCCAGGAGATTCTTAGTATTTTAGAACTTTTGCTACTTAATAACTGGACATACTATGTTTATAAACATATTAACCTATTGTTTTGATCTGGCAAAATGTGACATTTATTAAAATGTATTTAGCAGTATTTCAGTTCATCTCAGATTGTGTCGAGAAATAAAGGATAGGCTACTGGTCTAAATGTTAGTCATCTACCATCTTTTCTTTCCCTTTATTATTATCCCAGAGCCAAATGGCAGCATCTGGAAAGAGAAAACAGAAGACTTCATAGCTAGCCATGTTGCAGTCTCTTAGCTGGTCCTTTCCATGTTTCTAATATGTCACAGAGGACCTCAGCTGTTATAGGGCTGGGACCTTGTCCCAGCTGACAGACGACAGTGGGACTCTTGCCCTATACTTTATGCTGTACCATCTACTGCTTCTGAATCCTGCTGTCTGACAGGTTTTCCAATGGGCATTGGATGAAGTAATTTGAAAAATAATCATGTATGAGAATAAAGGTAGTCTTGTTCCTTAATACAAGTGAAAAATAATCAATTTATGTTCTCTATCAGAACTAATAAATTTATGTCTTCTACCAATTTATGTTTTCCCTTCAGTTCTTCAAATTAGAATAGCATGACTACATGGGCCAGCATTTTCAATTAAGGGCATATTTCCATCCAGTTTTCAGCCTATAGTAGCTTTAACTTTTAAGTTATTTCACTGTTGATAGTCTATCTCCACTACAGTTTTTCATGAGATGGCATAGGGATATTTTATAGATATTATACTATTAACATAATATTTAACGTTACTGTTTTGTTTCCATGTTTTGCAGAATAAAGCCATTATTGCCCGTGTCACAACCTTGTCAGATGTAGTAGTTGGTCTGGAATCATTTATTGGTTCTGAGAGAGAAACTAACCCATTGTATAAGGATTATCATGGTAAGTACAACCTTCATAATGAGAAGAGCAGGAGCAGGCTGCTTCTAGGTTACCTGGAAGCATCCTATTCAATCCAAATATCTACTGTCAAGGAGTATGAATTTTATAATACACCTGTTAAATATTTTCCATTCCTGTCCAGTCTTCCATGGCAGCTTATTACCCAACTACATTAAGACTATAGACTATAATAACTGAAAGGAGTCAAACCCAAGTACTGAGGCATGGCTGAGTCAGGTGTATATTTTGTCATCCTAGTGGCTTAAGGTAGCCATGTAATCAGTCATACTTACTAGCCATGTTTGAAATAAATATCGTATTAATTCTAATAATGACAGTTTTCTATAGCAGTTTATACTTTACAAAGCCTAGCCATATGATAAGATACATACTGGATTATATTTACAGATTCCTAGTCAGTTACATTTTCAGAAAGAGAAGATCTTTGATTATGTTTGAACTTTTCTCTGTTTACTCATTTTCTTGTTAGTATGAGTTATGAACAAATTATAAAATATTGCCACCTTGATATAAACACAGCAGAATTCATCAGACTTTTGCTTATTTTTTTTTTTTACTTTTAGTAATATTGTAGTCATTTGGTTAATTTGGGGATTCTTTTTAATAAAGAGTCTTATGTAGAACTATATGAATAGTAAAAGTGTAGTATTTAGGTCTTAGTAATATAGGTCTAAAACAAATATAGAATGTAGTGAATAACAGATTTTTACCTATTATTCTTAGTATAAATAAATTATTGCTACCATTGTTATGGAACTACCATACTTCTGTGGAAACCTCTAAAGACTGAGTAGCTTATTTGAAGCCTGCTACCAGATTTTATAAGACAAGTATTATGAGCTTATGCATTTTGTAAAATATTTTATATTCTAAAAAATATTATTTTGATTAAAATATTGCAAAGGTTGAAAGGCTATGATTCTTTGTGCTAAAATCTCTGAATTGATAAATTATTTTCCACCGAGTAAAGAGTGGTTCTAATGACTAGTATGCTTTCTGTTAATAAGGAGGACCTGATGATGAAATTATTAATTTATTCTATAAGGCCTCTTGATAGCTAAGCAAGCACATTCAAGGTTAAAATAAGAAACGTACAAATAAAAGTATGGTGTGCTTATTTCTAATAAATATATTTTACTAAATAGTATGTATGAGATAGTCTTAATTTGTAGCCAAAAGCTGTCTTCTTGAAACACCTTTTAAATTTTTTTAAGTTTGAAAAATTTTCAGGTATTTTAGTTAATTATTTTTGAAGAGGCCATTTCTAAAGCTAAGTACCTTTAAAGGTTTAAGCTAAGACTAATAGATGCATTATTAAGCATTTAAACACACATACAAAACCTTGTACTAGAGAAGCAGTTCTGTAAGTAAGATTTGTCTCTTTGTTCAAATCTGTAATTTGCCTTTCCTCCCCATGTTTTGGATCAGTGTCCTCGGGATGGCGATTTTTAAATATAAGCTGAGTCAGGCAGAAAGATGTAGTGAAGAACCTTCCATGTCTTCATCTGTGGGAAATGACCCCTAGTTTAGTCAGAAACTACATTAGGCTGCACAAAAGCTATCCAGTGCCCTTGTCAGAAAAAATTAGCAAGTGTTTCTACTGACAAGAGGCCAAAGCTCATGGTTTACCTAGCACTGTTGCAAAGCTTATAGCAGCTACATAAAGGTCTAACATGCCATAGAAATGAGTGTCTTGGGATGGCATAGGGGTTAATGTTTGGTCCTAGAGTGTACTTTGAAATGTAGTTTTCTTCAATGGTTTGTTCAAGTCATTAATAAGGTACAAAATGAAATATTTTTCATGAGTGCTTCACTGGTTATCAGTAACCCATAAGCCTTGTTTTGCCGGCTGCTTAGTGGTGCATTTAATAAAATAAAGATCACTCAGTGGTGCCGTGGGCAGCATGCAAGGTGATAGCCATATTTGCTTACTGTAAATACAAGAGAAAATCACACACAAACCGGCTGTAGTTTTGACAAGTATTAAGATCCCTCTTTACATCTGTACTTCTGTACCAAAGTGCAATTAGTTTTCCTCGCACAAGGATTTCTGTTTATCTTATTCTGCTTGATTACTTGAGTATAATCACACCATTTGCTTCATTGCTCCTGGTAGTAAGCTCCAGTTTTAAAAGGGGAGGATGCTTGTGTGTAAATTTACAGGATTCTGCTATAAGACTGTTTAATTTATGCATCTGATGACAATGTTTTAAATTTTTTTTCTTTTAATTTCTTTTCCACAAGGATTGATTCATATACGGCAGATTCCTCGGCTTAATAACTTGATCTGTGATGAATCAGATGTCAAAGACTTAGCTTTTAAATTAAAAAGGAAGCTATTCACCATTGAGGTAAGAGAATTTTTATGTTTTAGTTTACAATCTTGAGATAAACTTATTTTTAACTTATTTTTACTTTATTTTATTTTCATTTTCACTTATTTTTACTTTAATGAAATTCTTAGGACATGTTTTATGCTAAGTATTTTTAAGTTCTTCTAATATAACAATAATTTTTTAGACTATTGTTTTATTTTTACAATATATCAAGTATGGCAAAGATGATTTTCTTTTGAATATCTATTAAAAGTAAGCTCCAAACTTACATGATAAATATGATATGCATATTTCCATGGCTTTGAAAAGCATATTTAATTAAGTGTTAATGAGCTGCGCTTACTTGGGTGTGGAATGTGAATGCTACCCACTATTGTCTGTGGCTAAGAGGATTCTTATCTACATTTTAAAAGCATTTTTCTTTACTGTTAGTGAAATTACCTTTCCTCGTGTGGAACTAAACAAATTATAATTTACACTAGTGTCTTTAAGTACATTTTCTAAGACACTACAACTTTTTTTGTGACCCTTACGTAAGCAATGGTGACAGAAAGTAGTAGGACAAAATATTTATTTCAACTTAATCTTCCTAAAGAGCAAATGAACAGAGAACTATTAAGGAATTAGAATTGATGTATTTATTAATGAAGTAAATGCTCAGAGAGAGATGGCTTTTGGGTGATGTGATAGTTATCAGTATAGTCGGTGCAATTTTTTTTTAACAAAGACATAAAACAGCCAAGCAGCCTTGACAAACCATTTTGTTTAATCTCTTTTCAAATGAAAAGCTCCTAAGCAGGCCACTTGTCTTAACTGCTTGAAACCATAAAAAGAGAGAATTGCCACCAATAAATTAGCATATTTTTAACTTCATCACCAAATGATGGTCAATGTGGCTTGGCACTGCTTTGGTGTTTGGGACTTCACCCTTAAGTGACCACTTTGGCCCTTTTTTGACCCTCTGCCCTCTTTAAGCTGGCCACTTGATAAGGTAACTTAATGGTTCTCTCTCTTTTTCTCTTTCCCTTCACATTTGCAAGTAGCACTAACCTATAAATCATTGTAAGGGCCCTATCCAGTGACAAATTAATGTGCCCTCCTCCTAATTAATGGTCATCAATGTCCTTAATTATCTAATCCTATTGAGAGCAGTTAATAGTTAATCAGGCAGCCAGTTCTTCAAGCAGGTCATCTCTGCAGGAGTGTTAGAAGTTTCTCATCTGGGGACACTCCCTTCAAAAGCCACTTAAAGCCAAAAGAGTGAGAGTGTGGAAATAGTGATTCTTGAGCTAATTTGCTTTAGTTCTCAAAAGAAACCATTGAAGTGGAACCCAACACTGTAATTGTTCAAACATTGTTTCAGCTTTTCTGACAGAATACTGAGTAATGTACCATAATATTGCTTAAAACATTGAGAAGGATACAGTTATAGTTTAGTGTCACAAGGAAAGCATGATTATCGTTTTCTTTTGAGTTTACATTTTTAATGGAAGACGTAAGTTTTTTCTCTCCATGTGGCACCTTTTCCCCAAAATCAGTATTCTAACAACCACATCTGAGACACAATTTCTATTACCATACAAACTAAGCAAGATGATTCCCCTGTGAAAGTAAATATTGTACCCAGAGAAGAAAGTAGTACAGTAATGTGAATCATGTTTATGATTTCTCTTTCTCTGTCTCATTGAGTCTTACTGGGAGTTGAGGGAAAGAGAGAAATAAAGAACTTACGTGATGTCAAGCGGGACCTCTCCTCTGAATAACTTTAGGTTCTAATAGTAACTACACTTCACCATCAGAGCTGATGAAAGATCTTTTATTAACCACACAGATTTCTGTTCCATTTTCTCTCTTGTTCCCACTATGGTAAACTAAGAATCATTATAATTGGTCAACCTGTGGTTTAGAAGCAATGTTTGAAAACAAAACACAAATAGACTGTTGTTTCTTAAAATTCTATATACTCAAACTCTGCACCTTTTTGTCTAATAACCTAATCACTTAAGTTTTTTGAGTTTTTTTGTTATTTTAATATAAATATACACATTCTAAATAACTTATTTACTTAAGCCATAATACTCAATTTAGTGATTAGAAAAAATAAAAATTAAGGAATCAAACAAACCAAATGGAAGTACATATATAGGTATAATTAGAATAGAATAAAATCATGTGGTTCACCTAAAAGTAAATGTTTTAAATGTAGCATTGTACATTCTAAAATGCATATCCAAACAGATAGCAAGTCTTTGTAATATATTAAAGAAACTAGAAACAGGGGTAGAAATGCCCTGAAAGTAACTAGTTCAAGGATTCCTTTATTGGGGGTAAAATCATCGAGCAAATGCTACTGTTTTAATACTCACAACAAATAAATGTTCTTTTTAAATGTCCTCATATTTTTTTAAAAATAAAATGTAACCTTACTAGCCTGTAAAGTCTGAGACTAAAATAGGTAGTCTACTGAATCTGAGTCTTACTTTCAGAAGTAAAAGAGTTGAATCTGACATTGAATCAGGCAGTGAATCAGAGTCTCACTTTCAGAAGTGAAAGGTAGTTTAGCAGGGAAAGCAGAAATAACATTTCCAATTCCACAGGCAGATTTGTTACATGTTGGAATTTACTGTCAGTCACATGGTCTCAAAAGGGGGCAAGGTTGGAAACAAGGGGCAAAAGAAGCAGACAAGCACTCTCATCTCTATTTTTAGGGCAACTTTTTTTTAATTTGTTAAGTCATTGCCCTTTATGTGTATGAAAACTGATTATCTTTTTACTAGCAGCTACCAAGGGCCTCTAACAGGTAGAGCAACTTTAACTCATAGTCTCTAATTTCTTTGAGTGATTTGGAGAAAGCAAAGGAATATTTCTTCCTTCTCAGAGTATATGTTGGTATTGTCCAGATTCAAGTGAAAATATTTATCTAATCAGAGTAAAAATTTTTGCCGATACCTGTAACTACAAAGCTCTATAAATTAGCCCCTTTACAAAAACCATAGCAGAATCATATCCATACTAATTGCACTAAAATCCTGACATGCATTCTGGATAAGTAAAAGTCAAAGTTTGAACTATGATTTCAGGTTAAAAGAAATAGCTTTCCAATTCTTTGAAAACTGGTGACTCTTATAAGCTATATATAGTAACAGTCTGGAGTATTTGATTAACCATTATATACTACTTATTCCTTGATCTTAACCAGATCGAATTTACCTAACCTTGCCTAACCTCCATTTAATCATAGCAAACATTTGTTGAGCCTTTGTTAAGTAGCAAGTACTATACGAGCTTAGTTATATTTTTATATAGTGATTAAATATTTTAAACAAAAGCTTTACTAAGATATAATAATAGATTCAATACACATAAATGGTGTCTTTTTCATCTTTATATCTATCTAAGAATCAAGGACAGGGTTATTTACTTAATAGGTATAAAGTCTTTGCTGAAATGTATGTAATATAGATAAATTATGAATGGGCTTTTAAAAATAGTGCAAATAATACAGCTATAAATATGACATAAGCTTCACCAGTCAAGTGACCCGTACACACTGTGTTCTTAGTTACGTGTAAGATAACTTGAGTACATGGCGTCACTTCCAAGCTAAAATAACTGGTTAAACTTGCATTTCTTAGCTTCTGTAATTTTTGCTTCTTTAATATCAAGCGATCATTAACCAGTTTTTTCTTTAGTAATTATGATGTAATTATAGTACATAAACAAGTAAGATTAGGCAGAATTTGAAATATGGCTGCATGTTTGATGACATAAGTGCAACATTTTCACTTGCACTTAATAATATTTTGCTATTTTGATTTTGCACTTTCAGCTCGATCATACTGTAGCACATTCTAGTCATAAAATTATCTAATATAAATGATAATAATGTATTATTATATTAGTTGCACCATCCATTAAGGTTTTCACAAAGAGAGTTTCCACTTTGGTAATGGAACAGTTTTCCAGCTCAAAGATTCGGTGTTTCTAAGTTCAAGTCAGAGAGTACAGTAACTGGGTTAACACTGAAATATACAAAAGACTTACACTGTAAAGAAATATACTGTAAAGACTTACAATATTTACTACGAATTTTCAATATAAAGATTAACACTACTTGTGTAGGCTGTAATTGGTCAAAAAAATAGTGTCAAAGTAAATCATGTTTACTCAAGGTTGTCTTATCATACTTTGTCCCTAATTCAGAATAGGACCTCAGTACCTCTCCAGTCACCAAGAACTTTTTCTCACAAAATAATTGACCAACCAGTTTTTATTAAGTAGCTATTATTTTTTATGTACTCATGTAATAGATTTATTCTCAAGTATTAAGACTAGAATAGAATCAATATAAGTTAGATTTATAATTATATTGCCATATAACTTGGTACTATTCAGTAGGATTATTCAATAAGATTATTATTTACATATTGGAAAAGCATAAACTCTTACCAATTACAGGACAGGGGTGCTAGTAGCTATGATAATGTGTAATAATTTGGAGTATTTCATGATATGTTTGGTCCTAGGTTTACTTTATTTCTTATGCTTATTTTCAGCAGCCTTTCTAGTTTTTAAATGAGAAGTAGAATGTTGAATATGTTTACTGTATCTAGAGATGGGAGCAGGATGGTTAACTTGCTTGTCAACTCACAATTATGTTACTAAAATAAAATAATGGAAATATAAATGTCTGGCTTGGGAGCCTTCTTAAGTTGTAGCATCATGGCCTGTAGTCCAATATACTACAAATATTGTTTGCTGTTTCAACTAGCTTTTATTCCTAGATAACACTGCAGCTAGCAGAAAGAAAAGAAAATCAAAGTTGAACATAGGCATCTATTCATTTAGATTAAATCAGTTGTCAAAAATAAACCCAAATTAACATTTTTTAACAATGGAAATCTAATTTTTTACATGTGTACATTTTGATATATTCATTATATTATCATTCTCATGTTTATGCTTTTATTCTCAAGTGATATCAGCATATAATAGCATTACATAGGTTTCAAAGAATCATCAGAAGTTGGTTTAATACTTACTACACTTTATATATTTCACATGCCATAGTTAACCTATCAAAAGTGCATACCACCTTAAGGAGAACACAGTTTTGAGAATCTGTCTAATCCTATTTCTTCCCACTTTGGAATCTTAATTAGAAGAGATAAGAAAAAAAAAAACATCATTTAACTAAATTATTGTCTTGAATCTGTAGCAAAAGGTATAATCCGCAATTGGGCCAATTAGTGAACCCCATAGTTAGCTATGCTGCAGCAAACAATTTGATTAGATCTGACACCATCCTAGTTCCCACTGTTGTTTTGCCAGGTATGATGGTCAGACTTCAAAGAGCTTGAGGCATCAGCAGGGCAAGGTTTGGAGGCCAGCTTAGGTCCGGTTGTTAATCTCTCTGCTAAAACCACAGCAGCTCTCACACAAAACAAGCTTACACGACACAATCATGCGGTATTAAAGTTAGGGTTGAGTCATGCCAATTTCCCTTTGATTTTTTGATGATTGACCAAAGATGGCTACATGACTAGACACATGCTAAAAGTATCCTGATTAGGTAAGTTCCCAAAATATTTGAAGTATTTTTTAACTTCCTATATAAATGTTGTGAAAGCTTATTCCCTTTGATCAAACCTTCCAAAGTAATAGTACTGTACTGGGGAAAAATGAGCATTTCTTACCGGCAACCTGAATATCAAACTTTTCACTTACCTCTTTATATAAATTTGTCTTTATATTAATAATTCCTTAAGGAGAATATATAAGGAAATTGTTTCTAAGTGGTAAGCTTTTGAAAAATCTATTAAGCACTTTGGAAGAAAAAACATTTTTCCCTGAGTCATTTATGTTCACTGACAGTTTTTCTGAAATTTCTTTATAATTGTTTTCCACTTAAATGTTGAGTAAAGTGCCCTTCCAAGATGTGGTTGCATAAGTGTTCTTTTCTCTGCATTCTGATTTGTTGAAATATTGCAGTAATAGTGACATGTTTCCATTCTGAGAAAAGCCTAAGGCTGCTTTAGTATTATTCCAAATGATTGAAACTGCCATCTTGCTGACTTTCCCTTAGGCAGTGTAAGTCCTGTTTGCTTCTGTGTTCATTTCACATGCTTCCTGTTAGTTTGGCTGGCAGAACATCATTGCTTCATTTGGCAAGGAAGAGTAGATTCATATTTGGCTATTATATGTCTTAAAGTTTCTGTGTGGTCATCAACACGTAGGATATGAAACTTATAATTAGTTATATCAAATGAATCATCTTTCTTTGAGAAAT
The DNA here is from genome assembly GCF_000001405.40 of Homo sapiens. Classification (NCBI taxonomy): domain Eukaryota; kingdom Metazoa; phylum Chordata; class Mammalia; order Primates; family Hominidae; genus Homo; species Homo sapiens. The sequence goes on from NC_000011.10 coordinate 31,656,496, forward strand.
ATAATTAAAATATGACACCTTGACCGTAATTTTTATATAAAAATCTTCATTTTATAAATTGAACTTAGGGTCTAATATTTTTACATTGCACTATTTATTTATTCATAACTAAGTTACTCAGGAAATTTAAGAAAAGTTGCACGAAGCAAAGTCAAATATTTAGAATCTTACTAACAGTCTCTCATAAAGATACCATGGTTACCTGTAATGCAGTTATCTCAATTTTTAGACCAGGAGGATACAGCCTCAGCATTGTCTAAATATGCAAAGGGGAAAAGGTCTCTTCTCCCTTCTTCCTAAGTTTTGCAGACATAAACATTTATATATGTGTTTTATGGTTTGGCTCCAAGAAAATTATATTGCAGTACTTCGAAGATTTTCTTCAAGACTTTGTAGAACTGCTGTAGCGGAATTAGTCCAGTTTACATGATACTCTCTGAAACACTTCTTTTCATAATGTGTCATTTATAGTGTCTAAGGAAGATAGAAAAAAAGAAAACAGAAAATGATGACAAATCACAGCTATTTCATTTCCTCACTTAAATGTATTTTTCAAGTTCCTAGAAAGTAAGAAGATACATTTTACTAGTATATCCTCCAAGGTGCCTGTAATACAAATGCTTAGTAAATATGGTATCCTTAAGCTTGTGATGTAGGTAGTTTTACAGATACTTTTGTACCTAAAACATTTCAAGTTTAGTCCTGCCTCAGTGCCTTTGCACAGCAAATGTTCAGAATCCTCATCCCTCTGATCTTTTCAAGACCTTTTCATGTCATTTGGATTGTAAATTAACTACCTCAACCTCCTCCTTAGAGAAGTCTGACTGGCCTGTCTGAAGTGTTCACTGAGTTACTCACCCTCATGTACTGTTCGAATTCTCAGTGTAATGTATTTTATAATTGTCCATTAGTTTATTTGTTTATTTTCCCAACCTCACCACTAAAATGTAAGCTCCACAAGAGTAAGGACATAGTATGTCTTATTTGCAGCTAAATCCTGAGTATGTGTAATAGGTGCTCCATAAATATTTGTTAAATTGTGAAACTACAGTTTTTAAAGTAACTCATGCCTACTGTAAGTTTCTTTAAAAACATATATTTGGTATCTACTTTGTTCTAGGTATTGTGTTGGGTGCTTTCATATACATTATTATATTTAATTTTAATCCTCACAGGAACCCTTGCATACATACTATTTCACATATTTAATAAAAAGAAATATACAGGAGTTATATAACCTTCCTTCCCAAAGTCATACATCTGTGGTTACAGCCAGGATTAAATTCAGATCTTCTGAAGTCATATGCAGAATAACACTGGAAAGCTAACATGTTCACAAACTCTGTTAATTATTATTAATTTTAAAAAAAATAAGTTTTATTACATGTTTAACAGAGGCCTAGGACTACTGCAAGTGCTTAAAGGCATTATTTCATAGACCTTACAACTACCCATATAACATTATTATCTTCATTTTACAAATGAGGAAACTTACAGTTTGGAGAGATCAAGCAACTTAACTTATCCGGAGTCACAAAACTGATAACTGGCAGAAATGACACTTAAATTGAAGCCTGTTTTATTCTAAAGCCTGTGCTCTTAACCACCAACTATCTGCCATGCCCTAAGCTGTACTGCTATCTCGTCTTCATTACATAAGCCAGAAAGCCTGTGTCCTGAAGGATTCTTCAATAAAAAATGTTTTTTTAAATCTCAGAAAATGTGTTAATGTGATATATATATATGTAACATTCATATTAAAAATTCTTCTGTTCCCCAGCATGCATTTCTACTTTTTGTAAAATACATTATAAAATTATGATTGGATTAATCACAGCTTCTCCCTTATATAACATGATGTTATTTTATATATATATATATTCATATGTATGTGTGAATACATTAGGGTGATGATATTCTGTTTTTTACTTATTTCTAGTAATATGGTAGGTTTTTATGGAAAAATTAATTTGCAAAAAAAAAGCTATTCTCTAAAATACTATTTACTGTTATAGGATTTCTAAATCCAAAAGAAAGTGAGAAAGTATTGTATACAAAGAAATGTAGTTTTCCTTATCAACTATTTTGATACAGTCTAAAAGTGTGCCAAATTTAATTACAATATATTATGATTGTACTCACTTAAGTTCTATGTTCAGGTACTTTTACCAATATTAATTTGCTTATAGCTAATCAACCTGTTTTTGTATTTTAAATTTTTCTAAGGTATTTTACATTTGTTATTTTCGGAGCATCAAAAATTATCCTGTGAGATAATCAAGGTATATACAACTTTTAATAAGGGTCTACTGAATTCATTTTTCAAATTTCTAATTTTTTCCTCCCCTGTCATCATAACTGGTTCTAATGAAGGTTTGATTCTTTCATATTAAGAGCTATTTTTCTCTTTTGCAAAAAGCTTGATTTGCTGGAAGTTCTTTAAATACCATCTTTAATCAAAATTAAGCAACAAATATTATGATTGTAAAATGTTTTCCTCTTTTATTGATGAATATTATGAAAAAGTTTTCTGCATTTTAGTAATACGAAGAAATTGTTCCTCATTAAGAAAATATAATGATAAATATAAATTATTAGTTTTTAAAAGGTAGAATTGTGGACCATAATAAATAATTAAGAGAAAGTAGAATGTAATGGGAATGTCTTTAACCCAAAAACTGGTAAAGCGGTTCTCTTACTTAAGTAGAAATTAAAAATTTGGGAAATTTATTACTGTCATCACTCCAAGTCACAGTAGACATTTTATAGAGTAGCCAGTTTAGGTTCTTTGTATCTGGTATCGTGAAATTCACTGAACTGTTTTGTCAGGTGCTGTCAAGTCAACCCACCATTGTTGTAGAGAATCAAACTAAATCATTTTGGCATGAGCCTTCCAGAAATAAGATACCCAAGATGAAGGGTTTAATGAAACTGAGTATTTGGCTTCAATTTTTTGTCAGAATGTCAAATATATATTGCACTCATTCAAAAATTTCTGAGTAAATCAGTTGAAATACCTGACCCTATGCTTTATTGAAAACTTGTTTCAAATATTATTGCTCAATATAAATGATATTTGGAATGTATTTGGGTGTTTTTTAAGGTATAGGATTCTTCATTGAACATTTCAAATAATAAAACTTGAACGTATATAGTCATTTAATAAAAAGAGAGAAGTATATTTTACTACGATTAAAGTTTTCCATTATAGGCTCAGTGCAGTGGCTCACACCTGTAATCTCAGCACTTTGGGAGGCCGAGGTAGATGGATCACTTGAGGTCAGGGGTTCGAGACCAGCCTAGCCAACCAAAATAGTGAAACCCCATCTCTACTAAAAATGTAAAAATTAGCTGGGCGTGGTGGCAGGCACCTGTAATCCAAGCTACTTGGGAGGCTGAGACAGGAGAATTGCTTAAACCCAGGAGGTGGAGGTTGCAGTGAGCCAAGATCATGCCATTGCACTCCAGCCTGGGCAACAGTGCGAGACTCCATCTCAAAAAACAAATATCAATTTTGATTGAACTATCTTTGTTTCCAAAGGCTATTAAAAGCAAAGTTGTATTTAATTACATTTCTTGTCTTTAATTAATGAAATGTTTATTAATTTTCTAAATAATTATATGAATGAAAAAAGCTTATCTTTCTGATCAATAGTTATTTAAAAGGCATTATTATAGTGTAGACTTAAATGCCTCAAACTTTTCACTTACATATTTTGAAACGGGCTTTTTTGTTGATATTTCTGCCGGATCCATAAGAAATATTTTCCCAGCTTGTACTGTAGCTATGGTGTAGCATTGAAAAAGATGGTAACAAAAAGCTTCTTGGTGCAATTAAAGGTCACTTGTACATATTGTAATAGGCTACTCATTTACAAGATCTTTGTGAAGGGTCAGTGCTATAGCATGAAGTGGATTGCCCTTGTTGATCCTGTAAATAAATGGGTAAACTTCTCTTGTAGTCAGTAGGCAAAGAAAAGGCTAGCGCAAAGTAGCTTATCAATATTTTTACAAACAAAATGCTAAAATGTTGACCAAAACCAAATGCAATAGGACTATATACTTGATATAAATAATAATAGAAAATGATTAAAATACATAGTTACAGCTTTTAAGGGAAAATTGCTTACACATATGTATACACATATGTACTTGTTTTTTTTTAACATATGAACCATATTTAAGTGTAGCAAAACACAACACAGTGATAGTGTTCAACTCTCCTTTACCATAAAACTAGCATGTTTCAAAGTAGTTGGGATTTATACAGTCTATCTTTTCTGCATTGAGATTCAAAATTTGTCATGCATAAGTATGAAAAAGGAATCCAACTAGATAGTGATTTGTTTTAATTATATTTCATAGCCTTTTCAATAAGTCTTAGAAAAAATGGTGGTCCAGATAAAGTATTAGTAATGATCTATTCTGAATGAATTAATAATGATCTGTACTAAATACAAAGAAAATATTTTCTTTCAACAATTTTAATACACTTAGATTTTACATGTTATGTATGTATATTTGTGAGATACAAGTCATTTTTTAATCTCGAAGAAATTTTAAAAATATAATGAAATATATTTGTTCAACACTTTCTAGATTCTTCTCTCTATACTTGCATATTCAGACACAGCAACCATACACACACCCCCTTAATATTTTTTATTGCTGTGTACTATCAAAAAAATGAAATTTCTAGTCAATGTCAAACAATACCTTCTAGGATTAACAAAAGTAATTTAACAATGGGTTTGAATCAAGAAGCAAATAATGATAAATTAACCTTTAAAAACCTGTAGGACTGATTGGTGTATAAAAATACTAAGGCCAAAGGCCAATCATGAAGTAAGTATCCAAGAAGAGCACTATTTCAAGTAATCTTCTCTGCTTTTTATTTAGTTCTTGAATATCCATTCTGCACTGTTTTGTTTGTTTTGTTTTGCCATACTTTAGTACACGGAAAACATCATGCATTTCTTTTATAAAGTATCAAACTTTGGGAAAATATCATTCTTTTAGAGCATAGGTGTTATAAACGTAGGTATTTTTATTCATCATTGTATCTCCCTTTCCTAGTTCATTGCCTGATCATATAAGTGCTCGTCAAATATTGCATGAATGGATAAATGAATGAATGTCCTCTTGATATTGCTCAAAACATGTAAGAGGGTGTGACCATTAAAAAAACTCATTTCAGATTATACGGAATAGTTTGATAGTGTGAATACAGTTTTCTTTAGATGCTTAATATATTTCTAAGGTTTTACGTAAGTAAAACAACCTTCAAAAAATATCAGCTAATAAGATAATGAGCTGTTATTGTTGAAAACAGTTCATGAGACTTATGAGTTACAGATGAAATAATTATGTAAAATGGAATTTTAACACATTTTGGATATTCTACAATTTTATTTAAATACACATTATCAGTAAAGTAACTGATACCACTTCCATAACAGAATCTAGGACTAATCCTTATTGAAGAATCATCCTATTGACCTCTTTATTATACACTTGAAGCTGACAAATTCCAATCTGGTTCTTCAGTTTGGCTTGTTCAGAATTTTTTCCTGAGAAACCATTCTGATCCAAACAGAAATTTAAATTAAGGACAATTATATGTAGGAGAAAAGCTTTACAGTGTGTGATTTATAACTGAATGCATTTCATTAAGATATGTTATTGACTTAATGTGTAATTCAGTCAAAAACAAAAAAAGTACATGTAAAGATATTTTGGAAATGTGATGTAGTCTTAATAGTACTATAAACATGAGCAATTTCTTTAGCATTCAATTATTATCACATTCCAATCATTTCATTGGAAATGTTCTTAAGCTTTTGTCCACATAAAAGTGGGTAAATAAAGGGCAATATTAAAGCAACTATGCCCCTGTTGCAATAGAACATGTGATTAGCAAACTATGGCCCATGGGCCAAATCCAGCTCCATGTTGTTGTTGTTGTTGTTGTTTTAATACATTTTATTGTAACAGCCATTCCTATCATTTTGTCTATGGCTGTTTTCACAGTGCATCACTAAGTTGAGATCTTACGACCTGCGAAGGCAAAGATATTTTCTGTCTCGTCATTTACAAAGAAAATTTTCTATAAAGAAGAACCCCTACTTTAAAAAGCCGCATACTTTAAAGAAAATTTACTGAGAGAATTGTCAATTTGGTGATAATGATTTATACTCTTAAAATTAAGCTTTATTTGAAAAATAACACATACAGTCATTTGCTGTGTAATTTGCACTTGTAGAATTTATGCAATGTCTTTGACAAAATACCTAGATTTTTCAAATAGTCTGCATTAATGTCTCTCTGAGAAAATACCTAGATTTCATAAAAGGTTAAAATTGGAAGGGAGCTTAAAGTGCTTCAAAGCCAGCTTCTCATTGTGTGCACATATTTTCTCATCCAGCCTCTCTGTAATCATGTGGAACTCACTTTCTTAGGGGCACCTCATTTCAGTCTCTACCAGATTCTTTCAAATGCTAAAGCAACCTCTTAACCATTAGTACTAATTCAGCTTTCTGAAGCCACAGATAAATTGCTATTTTCTATACAATGTTACCAGATCGATAATAAATACCTAATATATGAGAAACAATTGTAATGTATAAATATATATTAGTTTTCATTAGATTTATATTTCTTTTATAAAACATTATAAATTTAACCATTTATGGTGTTTATTGTACATTTAACTTAGAACCTTAAGCACAACATCTTTTAAAGAAACCTTTTTTAAAATAAAGCATTAACTAGAAATGTTAAAAGTTTTGAATTCTGAAATTAAAATCCTTTATGAATTGTAGCTTCATACAATTTAAATATTAAAATTCAGTGTTTTCATTTGTAGCATGTTTGAATACACAGATGACTTCAGATTATTAAAAGTTATAAAATCAACTTTAAATGTGATATTGAGTTTTTTATTATAATCTACTTAAGATTTTTTTACTATACAGTAAATCAAAATGTAACATTAAACTTTTGATAACTGAATATTGAGAGGCATAAGGATACATTTCTATATTGGGCGTAAGGATATATTGATTTTATTAGCAGAAGTATACTCAAAAACTTTAACTGTTCATTAGCCACACTATCCAGTGTCTATAATTGATAGTCAAATTAAAACAGTAAGTTTAAGCGGGTGCTATGAAGTCTTGCTTGCTTATATGCATTTTTTTAATGTAGGAATTTCTTAGACAAGTAAACAAGATCTTACTGAAGTTTAAAGGGTGAATATATTATTAAAAGTAATGTTGGTCCTGGTAAGATTATTTTTAAGCTATAGGATGCTGTAGTTGGAATATTTTGGCATTTTGGTTAGGAAATTTAAACATGAGCACATTTTTACTTAATAACTGCTTTTATTTAAGCTAATGTAAGTTATTGTATTTTAAAATAATTATATAAACACCAGTGTCCTTACCATTTGAAAATTATTTTTAAATTATGTAAAACAAAACTTCTTTTCAAAGGTGTTTACGATGTAGAATAGAAGATTGCATGAAATCACACAAAAAGAACTCAATGTAGTGTTTTCAGCCTAATAAAAATGTTGTAAAAATACTTGTAAGCTTGGAAATCACACTAGCTATTCTTGTTTCAAATTCTGTTTAATATATTGTTCTGTATGATTTTATAATAAACAGATTACTCCTTGAACAGGAATTAAGAATAAAGCTGCCAGGAAGGGGTTTTGTTGTCAGAGTAGTTCCCGCCTCATGTTTTGTAAGAGATTTCATGGTCCCATTGTAAAGAGTAGATGATTTAAAACGTGTTCCCAAGATAAACTTTCCCATTGTCATTAATGAGGATGGATAATACTGAGTGACAAGTGCATTAGGAATGACACAGAAAGAGCTGTTAGATTTGTCAGAGCGTATCACTTCAGGCATTGACACTTGAGGACATTCTTTTTGTGGATATTTGGTTGGGGGGGGAGTCTGATTTAAAGATACCAAAGTTTGTGTTTGCTAATAGAATAATGTATTTTACAATTTATAAATATATATTTTTCAGTGTTTAGAAAATATTTGGAAAGTTATTTAGATTAGGTTCTTCCACATTTTAAATTCATGCTTTTATTATAACCTGATTTCTTCCTGAGAAAGTCATCAAACTGTAAGACATTTGAATATTAAAATAGTCCCATAAAACTAAATTCTTCTTCTAAAAAGTCTTATTTCTGGAAATATGCAGCTGAAGGAAAGATACTAAAAATTAAACAAATTTTTAAAAAACATTTTGCTATCTTACTCCTGTATCTAAAAGGGTACTCCTTACTATGCATCACCTTGAGAATAAAGGTTTTGAAATAAGAAAATACATGTAATTTTATTGTCTCTTTGAAAATACATTACAGAAACATGTTTTAAATATTAATCAATGCGCAATTAATAATGTGTGACTTTTCTGGTATTTAAAGTATTTCCAAGCTGTAGTATGCATCTCAATTTCGATTTTGAACATGCAATTGGTCACTTTTTTGCTTTGATTCATCTTTTATGCTGCCAACCAAATTTTGCCTCTGTATACCTTTTTGACACTAATAATGACTGAGTCTCTGTTCATTTGAGTTCAAGATTTCCCAAGCGGCAGTTTGGAGCTGGGATAAACTATCTATCATGATTGCATACCACTAATCTGTCTCAACCAAACCACCCTATGACTGAAATTATACTTGACAGTTTACCTCTTCTTGATGAGCCTGAGGTGAACATAGCTACAGACCATCCCTGGGAGGACATGGCAACTACTCCATATGCTAGGGAGGATCCTTTTATTTGTGACACAAGACTTAAACTATGCCTGTAGCAAAAGGGAAGTCTCTCTCCCTCTCGCTCTCTCTCTCTAGTATTTTTAATTTTCAGTAGTATTCCTTTTGTACTATGAAGCTTTTTTAACACAAATATGTTTGGTAAAACTTTCTACCATTACAAGTACTTCCTATAGGTTAGCTTCACCGTGTGTTTAAAAACTATAAAGTCATTTTTCAAAGTATTTATGCTTTCTAAAATATTATATTATTGATATACCATAATCATCAAATATCAAAGATTCCTATTAGTATTTGACTCTTGCCAGTTCTTGAAACATCTCAGTAAATTTTTATATTATAAAAATGTTTAATCGTCTCTCTTCCTTTTTTTTTTTTTTTTTTTTTTTGAGAGATTCTGTGTCACCCAGGCTGGAGTACAGTGGTGCAATCATGGCTCACTGTAGCCTCAACCTCCCAGACTCAATTGATCCTCCCTCCTCAGCCTCCCAAGTAGCTGGGACTACAGGCATGCGCCACCATGCCCAGCTAATTTTTCTATTTTTTGTAGAGACAGGGTTTCACCATGTTGCCCAGGCTGGTCTTGAACTCCTGGGCTCAAGCAGAGCACCTGCCTAGGCCTCTCAAAGTGCTGGGATTACAAGTATGAGCCAAGGTGCCCAGCCTAATTCTCTCACTTTAACATAAAATGTTTTTCAAAATAAGTTTCAAATTCTTTTTTTTTTTTTTTTTTTTTTGTGACAGAGTTTCACTCTGTCCCCCAGGCTGGAGTACAGTGACACAATCTAGGCTCACTGCAACCTCTGCCTCCTGGGTTCAAGCAATTCTCGTGCCTCAGCCTCCCGAGTAGCTGGGATTACAGGAGTGGGCTACCACACCCGACTAGTCTTTGTGTTTTCAGTAGAGACAAGGTTTCACCATGTTATACAGGCTGGCCTTAAACTCCTGACCTCAGGTGATCCTCCCATCTCAGCCTAGAAAAGTGTTGGGATTACAGGCATGAGCCACCACACCCAGCCTTCAGATTCTTTAAATATTTTTAAAAATAGATTTGAAGAGAATAATAAACTGAACACTATAGCGGAAAACACTTTAATTGTTTTAATAAAGATTCCTTTTGTAGGCTGGGTGCAGTCGCTCACGCCTGTAATCCCAGCACTTTGGGAGGCCAAGGTGGGTGGATCATGAGGTCAGGAGATCGAGACGATTCTGGCCAACATGGTGAAACCCTGTCTCTACTAAAAATTCAAAAATTAGCCGGGTGTGGTGGCATGTGCCTGTAGTCCCAGCTACTTAGGAGGCTGAGGCAGGAGAATCACTTGAACCCGGGAGGCGGAGATTGCAGTGAGCCGAGATTGCGCCACTGCACTCCAGCCTGGACGACAGAGTGAGATTCTGTCTCAAAAAAAAAAAAAAAAAAGGTTCCTTATGTAGACTTAATTACCATTTTTACTATCTAGAGAAATGTAAAGTCTAGAGAAAAGTGGCTACCTAAGAAAATTAACTTACTTACTATTTACTGCCTTTCATCTTTTTTGTGAAAATGGCTCTCCTTTGGAATTAGGAAATATCAACATTTTGAGATGATGTAAAAAGAGTGATTAAAAGACTTACTAATGCCCTGAAAAAAGAGAAATCTGAAGTAATTTTCAAAAATGTGTTAGTATGTGGAGGATTTAATAGTAAGGGTAGTTTTTACAACCAGCATGGAGGACCAAGTGAGCAACAGACAAATTGTAAAAGGAAAGATTGAGGTTATTTAAACAAAGGCTTTTGGATATTAAAATACTTTATCATAGACCACATATAGATAAGTTTATTATAAAATGCAGTCTATTTGCATCTGTCCTGGCTTGTTGAAATGTGATCCCACCTGAAGATGTTTAGATGGCCTGAGAAGGTTGGCCCATAGAGTCTGTTATATCATTGGAGCAAGCACTTAATAAGTTTATTTCTCATTATCCATTACTTTTAATTAAAGTTTATTATTCCCTTGGAAAGATTCCTTTTAGTATAGGGAGTATTTTCTATAATCTTATGAAGCAGTAGTATAATCACTACTGCATTCTACACAAAGTTTTTCTAAAGCACCTAATGTCAAATAACCATCAACTTTATTTTGGAAGTTTATGGAAATTAATCTCCTGACATCACAGAAGTGATTACTTAGTATAATGAGTGAAACATTCTTATATTTTTGGATGTAACATAATTTATTTTTAACAAACTTAATCTGCGTTAATTTTATTATTTTCTACGTTATTTTTATTTTAACTAATAGTTACCAGTGAGCCATGTAAGATTTAGGTAACACCATCTAAAATAAGCATCCTGAAGAACACTGTCAAAATGAAGTTTATATAATTCCACATTTTTAAAATTTCAACTATAAAACTTCTACCGGTGAACTGCATAATATAATCTAGTGACATGTATTTCTGAATAAGAGGGAGTACTATGAAAGTAACTTAGTAAACTATATATATTCTTTATGCCAAAAGCAGTTAAATGAAAATGTCTAACTTATACACTGACTCGTGCTACTCAGACTGGATTTTGTGCTAAATTTTAACTTAGGCAATAAAATCTATGATCCATTCATCTTATCATACTCCGTTACTCCTCCCAACTAATTATCTGATCATTAAGTCTACTTTTTTATTATAGGGTGCATCTGCATCATTTCTAAAATAAAATTGCTCCCATTTTTCCCACAAGCATTTATTTTCTAATCAGAAGAATTCATATAACACTGCTTTATAGTAAATATTCAAAAAAGTTTAAATGGTAATTATTGAATAGAGATTATCCAAAACAGTAGTTGCTTTATTTGGAAAGCAGAATTTGTTTTAAACTTAGAAAACAAGCAAATTAAAATGATGTTTTGTATAATATTTAAATAATTATGCTTTTTGGTTTTGGTTTTAATATAAGTTTCTTTTCAACACTTTTTAATATACGTATATGCTTAAGCATGGTATATGATGAATCTTATTTTTTAAGTGACAAAAAACAATTATCCTGAAAAATGCCTTAACACCATCACATGAGGCAAAATTATTATATTCCTCAGACTACTTTTTTACACTGCTCCTGTGACAGATTAACACTATTTTTAATAAAATGATTGGCAACACTCAAGTCATTTGTTTCATACATCACAAAGGAATAATTATTTTCCAGTAATGTGTTGTAATTCTTTTTTTTTTTTTTTCCCCAAGAGACAAGGGCTGGCTATGTTGCCCAGGCTTGACTCAAACTCCTGGGCTCAAGCAATCCTCCTGCCTCAGCCTCCTGAGTAGCTGAAATTATAGGTGTTCGCCACCGCACCTAGCTGTGATTCTCTTCTTTGCTTTAGATATCGGAATGAAATTTCCTTTGGTACCGTGTGTGTGTGTGTGTGTGTGTGTGTGTGTGTGTGTGTGTGTGTGTAAGAACCCTGTAGAGAGAAAAATAAGAAATCTGTCAGATTTTTAATTTCCTGACCTAGGATGAAGCTGTTTCTTATTTTGATATACATACTGAGTCAATTGAACTTACAAGGACTAATTATGTGAGGGTGAGATCAACCATAGCTGTTTATTAACTCATTTAGTAAATATTTATGAAGGTATTTTAGTTGAATTTTTAATTTAGTCCAATGCTTTTTATTAAAATACATGTCCTTAATATCTGGCCTCTGCCTGCCTCCCCAGCCTCACCTCTTGTCTCAAACTTCGACTTGCAGCTTTACTCTCACTTGCAGTCTCCTCAATGGCCCATTCTTCTGTCACTTCCATGTCTTTTATTTATTTTTATTTTATTTTATTTTTATTTTTATTTTATTTTGGGATGGAGTCTCGCTCTGTCACCAGGCTGGAGTGCAGTGGCGCGATCTCGGCTCACTGCAACCTCTGCCTCCCAGGTTCAAGGGATTCTCCTGCCTCAGCCTCCCGAGTAGCTGGGACTACCATGCCCAGCTAATTTTTTGTATTTTTAGTAGAGACAGGTTTCACCATGTTGGCCAGAATGGTCTCAATCTCCTAACCTCGTCCGCCTGCCTCGGCCTCCCAAACTGCTGGGATTACAGGCATGAGCCACCGCGCCTGGCCCACGTCTTTTATAAATGCGAAAAATGCTCTCCCCTTTTCTGCAATAGATCAATCTTGCTCTTCATGTAGTCCTCCACTTAGATGTCACTTCCTTTAAAATGATTTTTCTGATTCTTCAAGACTAGGTTAGATAGCCTACCTCTGTGCTCCCAGAGTAACTCATAAGTTATTGTAGCATCTACAACATTATTTTAATTTCCTGTTTCTTTGATGTCTGTCTTCACCATACCATAAACTAGTGGCAGAAACTGTCTTTTTCTTCCTCAGTCATTCACCCACAGCACCTTACACAGGATTTAGCACACAATAGATACGTATTAAACATATGTGGAATGAGTGGAAAACTAATGTTTAACTCTGCTAAATACCTGACTGCATGTTTAATTATTCCCGCTCTCTATATGGGTCTAGGTTGTCTGTTTCATGGAGAAGGGTATTAGTAATCAGTCCTCCAAACCCAAACTAAACTGTTTAGATTTTCCCTAATTACCAAACTATATATTGTCCTTAAGGATTTATACTTTCTGCTTGGGATATGCCTCCATATCAACCTAGAATTGTTTTTCAAAATACCTTAACATCTAACTCAGTCTTTCCTTCTTAGTGAAGATCTTGCTAGCTCCTTCTTCACACAACTCATCCTTCCCTGCCAATATACTGACTTCCTTCTAAATCTTTGGCATATGCAAAACTCGACTTTTTAATGATGAGTTTGTTACTTGATGCATTAAAACCCTATCAAATAATTTGATTTGAATTTAAATGCATTTTTTAGCTAATCTATATTATCTCTTCCTCTTGCCTTTATAGACATATGGTAGTGATTCAGTATGGATACCTATCAGGATGACTAATTAAGGCCAAACCAACTGAGCATTTAAAATGTACCCTTCAAATTGAGGGGAGGTGCCAAGTTGATAACATCTTGATAACACTGGATAGTAATATCCCATGGGCTTACATATTCATTGTTCCTAGTCAATTGACATTTATATCTATTATCACTTGACTGAAACATGATTAATTATTTTATGATAATTTGAATCATTGTTTAAAATTCAGTTTGCGAAGTGTTGTGTCCCTGTCATCTTTTACCATTCCTTTAGAAGATTTGCAGCCACTCTGCTACCCTTCTAACTGTTACATAATAAACCTCATTGTTTTCCAAGTAGGAGACTCCTTCTTTCTGTAAGAGTAATAATTTTATGCTAGGGACATCAAAGATGAGGACAAAAATGTCACATTGTGATTCTGTCTCCATGACACTCCACAATAATACAAAGTGAAAATTTCAAGCAAAGGGAGGCTTTTGCGTTGCCCACAGTGTCAAAAGTCATGTTTCTCAGATTTTGTTCTCTAAATTGGGTATTAAAATAACCATTTTTATATTTTTTAGAAAAGTATAATTATTTCTTAAAATTTTATTTATAAAATATTTTCCCCAAGTCATTCTTTTTCATAAGGTTATTTTTTTCTAACCAAGAAATAGGAATTATAGTTCCTACTTTTTATTTACTGTTAACTATTTTAGTTGGAGATTTATTGCCTTAATCTATATGTAATATAATGTGTTTATCACTTAGGAAACATTAAAAAAAAGTGGGTTAGTTATTTTGTGTAATGCTGTAATAACATCATTCATCAGAATAATTATATAAAAGTAAATAGAGGTAAGGTAATACCTAATTTAGGATGCCTTTCAACTGTATAGTGCTTATAATTAAAGATTTCCGATAGAAACTAAAGGGCCTTAGTTTCCTTTCACATCAGCCTAATTTTCAAAATAAAACCATAAAATAAATCATAAAATGGTTTCTTTGCTTACACATTTATACGTTGAATCACAACTATCCACTTAGAAGTTTTTTGGACCAAAAAAATTGTTAAATTGTTAATGTGTAGAGCACAAAACTTAAAAGATCAATTTTGTAGCTCATTTGACATGGCAAGCTTGAGAGCAAAAATGATTTAACTACCCTAGTGCCATTAGAAAGTATTTAAGGTTTGCAAAGGGAAGTATGTGATTATTTCATATTACTTAAACCATTGAAAGAAAATATCACACATTATCAGTCATTAAAAGTAAACATCATGCATTACACATAATATCAGAGATTTAAGACATTATAGATAAATAGCTTACTAAATTGAGACATAAGTAAGATTTTATGTCTTTATAAACAAGGTATTTTTCCACTTTCCTACTTTTTTCCAGTTGGACTGAAAGGCATACAACAAAAACCTCATCTAGCCTAGCCTAGCATCTAATAGCCCTCACAGATACATATGAGTATTTAGATGGCAGACCACTAGACACAGATACCAAAACATGTATCCTCACAACAACCTTTATAATGGCACATTGAGCTCCCTGGTGAGTAAAGACTGCAGCATCTCAAGGTAGAAAATAAACAACAAGACTTATTTGCCAAGTGACTGTGAAAAGCACTTTTCATGCCTGACTCTGCTGCATACAGAATTCTGTGAACCTCTGAAGTAGCCATGTGACTTAAGGTTTAGCTGCTAGCAGCTAAAATAGGTCATCAAGCTCCAGGTCTGTTACAGTATTACGGTTCTCTTATTCCCATCAGGAACTTTGTTGTAAGCAGGAACTGGCTTTTGGCTGCTTAGTGTTCATTTTTGTTTTTCTGGGGGGAGCTTAGAAGGTCGATGAGGGGGCTGGGGCAGCAAGGCTGATGACTAAATAGTCTGCTCTTCAACCCTGATATCTATTAGGGGTAGGAAAACCTCTGGATACCCCCTGTAAAGACACTCCCTGGCTTTTACCAGCTTACCATCTGGACCCAATTTTAAGTGATTTATGACAATGGAGCCAGCATAACTGTACTCTATACTGAGTATTATTATTATATGATTCAATAAATGTCTTCTCTGTTGCAGAAGTTTGTAAGAACTGTTCAAATTGTTTTGTTTATTGAAGTTGTACGATTATTACTTTTTTAAAAAATGGAGTGGTCATTTAGGACTTAGAAGTCTTTTGTTATGAGGTGATTTTGTTATAATGGCATTTCTTAGAGATGATATTTATTCCAGTGCTGTGAAAAACCTATATAACTTTTTAGATATGATTTTTATTGAGCATATGTGAATTGAAAGTAATAATTCAAGCCAAGCACGGTGGTTCCCACCTGTAATCCTGGCACTTTGGGAGGCTAAGGCGTGGGCGGATGACTTGAGCCCAGGAATTTGAGACTAGTCTGGGCAACATGGCAAAACCCCATCTCTACAAAAAATACAAAAATTAGCTGGGTGTGGTGGTGGGCACCTATAGTCCTAGCTACTCACAAGGCTGAGGTAGGATCACCTGAGCCCGGGAGGTCAAGGCTATGGTGAGCCATGATTGTGCCACTGCACTCCAGCCTGGGTGACAGAGTGAGACCCTGTCTCAAAATAAAAAATAAAATAATAAAATAAGTAATCTTTTTAAAAAGAAAGTCATAATTCAGTAAAACAGTTATCACATGCACAGTTCACCCAAATGACTTCCATATAAGTTGATGATATTCTAAGTTTAAGTTGATGGTATTCTAAGTTTACATGGAAAGGTAAAACTTGGAAATTAATAAAACTATAAAGGGATGACAGTAGTTTTTGGGTTTTGGTGGGTTTTTTTGTTTTTGTCTTTGTTTTTTTGAGATGGAGTCTCCCTCTGTCACCCAGGCTGGAGTGCAGTGGCACGATCTCAGCTCACTGCAACCTCCGCCTTCTGGGTTCAAGTGATTCTCCAGCCTCAGCCTCCCAAGTAGCTGGGACTACAGGTGTGCACCACCATGTCCGGCTAATTTTTGTATTTTTAGTAGAGATGGGGTTTCGCCATGTTGGCCAGGCTGGTCTCAAACTCCTGACCTCAGGTGATCCACCTGCCTGTAATCCCAAAGTGCTGGGATTACAGGCATGAGCCATTAGTGGGTTGTTTTTTGTTTGTTTGTTTTTGTTTGTTTGTTTTTGAGACAGTGTCTTGCTCTGTCACCCAGGCTGCAGTACAGTGGTGTCATCATAGCTCACTGCAGCCTCAAATTCCTGGGCTCTACATGATTCTCCTGCCTCGTCCTCCCAAGTAACTATGACTACAGACAAGTGCCACCACACCCTGCTAATTTTATTTTTTGTAGAGATGGAGTCTCGCCGTGTTGCCCACACTGGTCTTGAACTGCTGGCCTCAAGCAATCCTCCTCCCTCAGCCTCCCAAAATGTTGGGATTACAGGCATGAGCCACTGCACCCAGCCTGACAGTAGTTTTTGATGAGATCTCAGTTGCCACAATTTTGGTGCATAAATCATAGTCCCATTATCAGTTATCTATCATAAGCTCCACAATTTTAATTGTTAAAACTTTATATGCTATAGATATGAATTATTTAAAAGAGAACACCTGGTAATCTATGTTTAAACATGCTAAATTTGTTTGGAATTTCTTCTATATAATATGATGCACTAGTATTTACTTCTTGATTTTTTTGATATCTAATGAAATGCTAGTTAGCTCATGGTTACTCTAACGGAAATAGAGAAGTATTTCTTAGAAGGGCTATTCATTATAATAAAACATTCATTCAAAATATTGCCCATGTTAGAGAACTGCTTGCTTGTTAAGATATAACTGGTTATTTAAGATTGCCTTGGTCCACAGGAAATGTAGTGTGTGGCCATAAAAACAAACCAAATTATGACCTTTGGAGGTATCTTTCGTGGAGAATACATCAGCAATTCATCACTCTATTTACAGGCATTTGAGAAATTAGGATCATTGGTATTGTTTTCTATTGGAAGTGAACAATAGACAAAATCTGTGTGGAATCTCTTGAAATTTTTATTTAATAGAGCATCTAATAGAATATTATTTCATAAACCTTTCAGAACATTTTAAGCATTGTAAGCATTATAGAAAATTTTATTTAATAAAGATTCACACCAGAACATTGGAGACACATTTTTCACTAACAAAATATGGAAAAGATTGTTTCCAAATTGGTGTGTTTAATTGCTTGCATGCCATTGGCCACTTAATAGAAAAACCTTGAAGTGTGATGCAACCAGTCATCACCATGTCTTCAGTTGACACATTTTGTTAAATAAAAGGTAGAAAATAAGAAAACATGTATTTCCAACTAATTTGAATAGAAGTCTATAGAATGAGTATATTTGGAAAGCTGTGTTAAAACATTTAATATGGAAAGGAAAGTCTCATTTATAAAACTGTGAAAAGAGTTACCATTTTAGTTTGACCCGCCAACCATTTTTCTTAATTTTACCAGTTGTACATTTTAGGATTGGAAGTAAATGGAGATAAAAGCCTCTTCCCTACAACACTGCAGTCTTCACGTAAGGGCTGTTTGAAAACATGCCAGGGCATGGCTTTTCTCTCAAACCTGAAGGCACTCATAAAATTAAACTTATTCAAGCTCAGGATTTCTGAAAGAATTTACATTTAAGAACTGAATTAACATTCTGTCCATATTAGTAAAACAAAACTGAATGTTACCTCTTTATATAATAGCAGTAGCAATGTCTTCATTAATTCAGGTTTCTAGTACCTAGTTAAAAAAAAAAGCACTTGGATTGTAAAGTGTGCGCATGTTTGTACACAACGTGGCAGTAACAAAGCTTTGGAAATTATGGAAGCTAAATGCTTGGTTACCACTGTAGCCCTCTTTTTCTATTTTATTGCTAATACTACAAAAAGGCAGTTATTTCTCCATCTGGTTTCCTTAGCATATACATTCTTAGCATGTAGGAAAAATCATCACTGTCAGAAGTGAAGAGTTAAGGGCAGGACAGGGAAGAGATTGTGGCAGATTGAATGGGCAGAATTGTTGCCCCCAAGAGTCATGAGAGGGAGTGTAGTATAACAATTAATACATTTAATCTTTTTTTTTTTTTGAGACGGAGTTTCGCTCTTGTTGCCCAGGCTGGAGTGCAATGGCGCGATCTCAGCTCACTGCAACCTCCGCCTCCCAGGTTCAAGCAATTCTCCTGCCTCAGCCTCCCAAGTAGCTGGGATTACAGGCATGTACCACCACGCCTGGCTAATTTTGTATTTTTGGTAGAGACAGGGTTTCTCCATGTTGAGGCTGGTCTCGAACTCCTGACCTCAGGTGATCCGCCCGCCTCGGCCTCCCAAAGTGCTGGGATTACAGGTGTGAGCCACCGCGCCCAGCTACATTTAATCTTTTTAAAAAATATATTAAGCATATACAGGGCTGAAGTGATCATGTAGGCACTGTGGGAAATGCAAATGCTATACATGGTTTCTGTTCTCACTTAACATCTTAGATACTTATACTGTGGAAGTTATGAAAGAAGTCCCTTCCCTCTAAAAACTCTATAGTTATACAATCTTTTTCAGGTGTTTATAGGAAGATTTTTTTCCCTCTTCAAATAGAAGAAAACAATTACTATTTACCCAACATTCAATCTGACAGAAAATCCTGTTGGCTTTGCTTTAAAATATATTCATAATTTAAACAGTTTTTACCACCTCCAATGCTACCACTCAGTCTAAGCCTCCTAACTAGATTTCTTCTTTTAACCCTGACCTCCTTCAGTCTGTTCTCATACAGTAGCCAAGAGGATGATTCTTTTAAAACATGAGACAGATCATGTCATTTCACTGCTCAAACTCTGTGTTGATTCTTCATCTCACTCAGAAGTCCTTAAGTGACCACCAAGACCCTACATGACCTGGCTGCCTTTCCTCTCTGACCTCATCTTTTATTCCTCTCCCACCATTTGCTCCATTTTAGCCACACTGGCCTCCTTGCTTGAACACAGTAAGCCTCAGGGCCTTTGCTGCCTGTTTCCTTTACCTGAAATGTTATTCTTTCACATCTTTTCATAGCTAACTGCCTCAATGCCCTCAAATATTTGTTCATATATCACCTTCTTAATGAGGGTTTCCTGACTCTTCTTTTCCAAATAGCAATCTATCCCTATTCTGCCATTGCCAATCACTCTTAATCTGCTTCATGTTTTCCCATAGCACTCACCACCTTCTAATATGCTGTATAATTTTCATATCTATTATGTTCACTTTCCATCTTCCTGTACTAGGATGTAGGTTTCACAAGAACAAGGATTTTTGTACATTCCATTCTGTTTAGAACAGTATCTTACATACGATAAGGTGCTCAAAAAAACAAGTTTGTATGTCTCAGTTTCTCTCAAGTTGTTTCCTGTCTTCTTCCCTATTTAAATTGTATACAAGAATGAATGAATTTGGAAGCTTATACTAGTTGAAATAATACCATTTATTGCTATTATTTATAGGTACTAAGTGTTAGACACTGTATAGGCACTTTGCTGGTATTATTTAATCCCCACAGCTAGTTCTCAGAGAGATAAAGAGGCTTAGAGAGGTTAAGTCATTGGCCCAAAATCATGTATCAAATGAATGGCTAAGTTCCAATTCAAGCCTGTAAGAGACTCCAAAGGCCAAGCCCTCTTTGTAGCTTTTGGGTTATGGCCAAGTTTAGCAAGTTTCATTCAATTATCAATATTTTTATTTATATTTACATCATTTTTTAAAACCATGTACCTCCTCACACATTTTTAAGTTGATATAAAATTTTCTATTATATGTTCAAATAGTGACAAAGGGTATAATTTCTGACCAATATATGCTGTAATATATTTTCATCCAAATCATGCAGTATAGGCTTAGCTCATTCAATTAGTAGAAAAGGTTTGTAATATAGTCTAATTGGCAATCATTGTCAAATTGATGAGAACAAAGTCCGACTTCATTTTTAAATTCTAATTAAACAGTTTCCAGGACAATCTCCTCACTTTCTGTTGCCATGAGTGTGTCCCATGGTCATCATGAAACAAAATGCAATCCCCTTTAGTTTGTCTGTTTTGCAATTATGGGACTCTCCCTTAGGAGCAATGTAACGCACACCAAGGTCCAGGGTGGGTGAGAGCTATGCCTTCTTTTGCCAACTTCAATTAAATGGGAAAGGAGAACTTGCAGACTGTAGGTACATTTTCAAGTAGATTAATTTTAGTAGAGAATAACTATGGAAACTGAGGATCTCAAAATTGAATTATTTTGAAACTGCCCACGCCCACGTAGCTATTGGAAAGTCTTCTTAAAACCCAAAGGAGATGCATTTTCCAGTTTTAAGACCTCTGCTTTATATTATGTAGTACATTGAAATTTAGAAAATACTCCAAGTTTTTTCATGGTTATAGTAGTTGATTATAATCTACAAAAATAGGTCTTTAGGTTATGCCAATGTGATTTAAAAAAACAAGAATGGAATGAAATACTTAACATTGATGCAAACTGTTAATAGACTTTTTAAAGAGTTTTTAAAAGGCTTACAGAAAAATTGAAAAGAAAATATAGAGTTCTCATATACCCATCCACACTCATTCCTCAGTTTCCCCTATTATTAATATCTTGCATTAGAGTGGAATATTTGTTACAATTGGTGAGCCAGAATTGATACATTATTATTGACTGAAGTCCATACTTTATACTAAGATTCACTCTGTTTTGACATTCTGTGGATCTTGACAAATGTATAATGACATGTATTCCCATCACAGTATCATATGGAATTGTGAAACTTTCCTAAAAATCCCCTGTTCTCTACCTATTCATCTTTCTCTCCCCCTTCTTTCCTCCCTCCCCCAATGTCTGACAACTATTGATCTTTTTACTGTTTCAATAAACAATTTTGCCTTTTTCACAATGCCATGTAATTACGTAGATTGTAGCTTCCTCATATTGGCTTTTTTCCCTTAGCAATATGCATTTAAGGCCAGGTACAGTGGCTCATGCCTATAATCCCAGCACTTTGGGAGGCTGAGATGGGAGGATTGATTGAGGCCAGGAGTTTGAGACCAACCTGGACCACAAAATGAGACCCCTGTCTCTGCAAAAAATTTTAAAAATTAGCCAGGTATGGTGGTGTGCAGCTGTGGTCCCAGCTACTCAGGAGTCTGAGGTGAGAGGATCACTTGAGCCTAAAAGGTCAAGGTTGCAGAGAACCGTGGTCGCACACCACTGCACTCCAGCCTAGGTGACATATCAAGACCCTGTCTCAAAATTAATAAATAATTGTTATTATTTATTGCATACATATATGTATGTGTGTGTGTGTGTGTGTGTGTGTGTGTGTGTGTGTGTGTGTGTGTATATGTGCATTTTATGTTCTCCTATGTCTTTCTCTGGCTTGATAACTCATTTCTTTTAGTGCTAAATAATATTGCATTGTGTGGGTGTACCATAGTTTGTTTATTCGTTCACTTACTAAAGAACATCTTGGTTGCTTCCAAGTTTTGGCAATTATGAAGAAAGCTACTGGTATAAACATCCGTGTGCAGGTTTTTATGTGGACATAAGTTTTCAACTCATTGGGTAAATATCAAGGAGTATAACTGATAGATTGTATAAGAGCATATTTCATTTTGCAAGAAACTGGCAAACTGACTTCCACAGTAGCTACACCATTTTAAATTCCCACCAGCAATGAATGAGAGTTCCTGTTGCTCCACATCCTTGTCAGCATTTGGTGTTATCAGTGTTTTTGGATTTTAGCCATTTTTCTAAAATGTAGAAAATGAGAGTGGCATCTCATTATTGTTTTAGTTTGCAATTTTCTGGACATATGATATGAAACTTCTTTTTATATGTTTTTTTGCCATCCATCTGTCTTCTTTGGTGAGTTGTCTATGCACATCTTTTGCCCATTTTTAAATTAAGTTGGTTTTTCTGTTATTGTTGAATTTTAGAAGTTCTTTGTATATTTTGTATACCATTTGTTTATTGACTATATTCATGCAACTATATTCAAGTTCAGTTGACTATATTCATGTACCACATATACCATAATCTATATTCATGTACCACATATACCATAATCAAGACTATACCACATGTCTTGATTATGGTAGCTTTATATTATATCTTGAAGTCGGGCAGTATATTAGTTTGCTAGTGCAACCACAATAAATACCACACACTGGCTGACTTAAACAATAGAAATTTTATTTTCTTACAGTTCTGGAGGTCAGAAGTCTAAAATCAAGATATCAGCAGGGTTAATTTCTTCTGAGGCCTCTCTACTTGGCTTGTAGATGACTGTTTCTCCCTACGTTTTCCCTCTGTGCTTGCACATGTCTGAGTTTAAGTTTCTTTTTCTCAGAAGGACACCAGTCATATTGGATTAGGACACACCCTAAAGACATCATTTTAACTTAATTCCTCCTCAAAGACCTCATACCCAAATATGGTTACATTATGAGATACTATGCGTAAGGGCTTTACCATATGAATTTTGAAGGGACACAATTCAGCCCATAACAGGTAGTTTCAGTCCTGCAACTTTGTTCTTCAGTATCGTGTTGGCTATTATGGGTCTTTTGCCTTTCCATATAAGCTTTAGAGTCAGTTTGCCAATATCCATAAAATAACTTGCTTGGATTTTTATTTGGATTACGTTGAATTTATAGATCAAGTTGGAAAGAACTGAAATCTTGACAGTATTGTGTCTTTCATTCCTAGGGCTGGGTCCCTCTGGAGTTGTGTACTCTCTAATGTCCACCCTGAGCTTCCAACAGTTTGTCTTTTACAGTTTAGATTTTCCTACTCTTTTGGTATTGGTCCCTGTGGAGAATTTTTTTTTCCTAGGCTTTTACTTGGGTAAGTTGTGATTCTCTGTATCTGCCTATCATTTCTACAATCATAGAGGGCAGTGGTTTTCCCTGTGACCCCAATTATCTGATGGATCTAAGATTTGTTGATTTTTCAGTTTGTTCAGCTTTTTGCTTGTGGAGACAGGAATGACACCTTCCAAGTTCATTACATGCAGGACTGGAAAACAGAAGTCTCCAACATACTTTTTATTATTGTAACATCATTGTGAAGAAAATTAAGCACTTATTGGTTCTTTATTATACAGAAGGAATTGAGTTAAATATAATACATCTTGAAACTGGCAAGAATCCCATGTTGCTAAAATGATATTTATGATGATATTTCTGCACCTGCATCACTAGTTTTTGAAACAAATTTACCCTAGAGCATTGGTTTGCAAAATGCTATGGCCCCAGTGGTTTCACAGAAGATCCTCTGAAATTGCTGGTTTGAGTTTCGGATAGGGGTTGTGGAGGGGTACAAGCAAGAAGGAAGCAAAGGGCAAGGAAAACACTAAGTTCGATATACTCACCCCTGCCTGAATCAGAGCATATGTGTTTTATTTGTTTCATACATATCATTTGAAGTAACGGTTTGACAATTAAAATATGTTTAAATTCACTGCCCTTGAGTGTTAGAAAATGTTGTATGCAATAGAGAAGGTTGTATTTAATCTTCTAATGTTGTGTTCAATAGGCTGCACAGTAGATGAACCTACATCATGAAAAGCTTCTTTGCAGAGTTTAGTAATGAAATTGTTAAGGAAGAACTCTAAGGTAGACTCATTTTATTTAATGCAAAGCGATCATGTTGAAATAAAACTCTGTTACGGACTGTAAAAACTCAATTTAAAATATAATTAATTTATCCTGAGGAGCTCAGGTATTCCCAAATTAAATATTTTTGAGGTATGAATTAGCTGACGTATCAAAAAAAGATAAAGTGTGATCATACCTTTATTAACCTGAGGTTAAGTTTTCTTGGTGAAACTTATAAATGTCAGTATATCCTGACTCATTAGTAACAGTTGAAATTAACCAACTTGGTAACTTCTATTTTTGTAAAAATTTACACTCACTTTGACTTTGTATCATGAGGGGAATTGAGGATAGGTCTGAAATAAGATTTCAGGCTTTTCTCCTTCTGAAATATATATTCAAGCTGAACAGAGAAAAGCATTTTAAATTCATCTAACAGTCATGTATAATTAGGCTTGGTTCTGCGTTGTGAATGGGGTTTCTGGAAGGGCAGCAAAAACAGGGTTTGATTTGTTACGTGCCCAAGCTTTGCATCATACCGTATAGAATTGTTTGTAAACATGCATATCACAGTAAAGTATGCTTAGTCTAAATCAGTTCAGAAAATTAGACAGCTGCTATGTGTAAAGCAAATAAATAAAACACCATTTTTCCACCAGAAAAGTGAATACAGTTGTAGAAGAGATTAGATAGATGTGCAAAAATCAATACAGGGCAAAATATCCTAAGTGTAATAAAGAGGGATAAAATGCTGTGAGACTTAAGGAGAGAGATGTTACATCTGTTTGAAGGCAAATTAGAAGAAGACTGAAAGGGAAAGTAACGTTTTTGATGATCTGGAAGAAGATGGACAGAAGATACATCAGTGAGGAAATGGTTACAGTGCATGTAAAAGAAAACTGATAGGTGCTTGAACAAACAGGGCTTTATATTTCTTTCCTTTTTTTTTTTTTTTTTAAATTGGAGCTTCACTCTTGTTGCCCAGGCTGGAGTGCAGTGGCACGATCTCGGCTCACGGCAACCTCGCCTCCTGGGTTCAAGCAATTCTCCCGCCTCAGCCTCCCTAGTAGCTGGGATTACAGGCGCCCACCACCACACCCAGCTAATTTTTGTATTTTTAGTAGAGATGGGGTTCCACCATGTTGGCCAGGCTGGTCTCGAACTCCTGACCTCAGGTGATTCATCCGCCTCAGCCTCCCAAAGTGCTGGAATTACAGGCATGAGCTACCGCGCCCGGCCTAGGGCTTTGTATTTCAAAGAGAACAAGTCTAAAGGTAAGTAGATACTGATGTTGATTTAGTGCTTCTGTAATGTCAGCGTCCCATCCAACTATGCAACAGTTTCAGCCAAGCTATTGACAAATCTAAGAGAGATTTAAGTGAAGAGCTGTACTTGATACTGTACTTGATATTTGCCAGGATCTGAATGATGAAAGAGGAGGAAGAATCATAGATTACTCAAGGCTGTAATATTAGTGGCCCATCAATAAGACTCATAGGTGCTTGTTTACGTATTTGCCTTCCTCACTAGCTGCTATTGTTAGAAAAGTGCAGAAGCAGTAAGTCTGGTAGCACTACTTCGGTCACACTTCCAGGATGCTTACTGTCTTTGCCCCTGCTGAGATCTCACATACATATTCAGAGTTGACTTCAAATCTCACCTGCTCCCTGAGCCTAGCCTAGCCTGACAGTTGCATCATAAATTGACCTTTTTTTTGTATTTGTAAAATTAGCACCTTGGCATTCATTGTTCAGTTCCCTCATTTTTGTACATTTTGTATGATACTGTATTAGCTCAAGTTGAGTAAGTATAAGAAATACTACCATGTGCCGGGCCTTTTGTGAATATACAAATATGTATTAACACAACTCCTACCCATAAAGAGCTCATAGTCTAGTAGAGAAAACTGACATATAAACAACTATAATAGAAATTGACTGATACAAAAATAGAGTTAGGTATGAAAATACTGTACAAAGACTAATAATGAGGCAGTTGTTCAGGGAAAGCTACAGAAGGAAGATATTTGAGTTGCATCTTGAAAGTCATTTGGACTATCAAATATTTATGTACTCATCACTTTCTATTTATATTATTACTTATTTTGACACCTTGCCCATTTGACGGTAAGTTTCTTGAGGTCAGAAAGTCTATATTCTATGCCTTTATTTCACCCATAGTGCCAAAATATTTCACTGAATCAGTATATTTGGTACTAGCCAAATATTTTATGTATATTTACATAAATTTATTTACTTATTTTTCTTTACCTTCCCTCTCCTCCCCACAAAGCCCAAGCTTAGCTAGTTACCATTCTTCTTCCTATTTTTGTATCCTGTTTTATTAACATTAGCCTGTAATGTATTTTTAGAACAGCTTATTTTACACACAAATGTGTAGTTTCTTTCTATGGCATATCTTGTAAGTAAGCATTGAGATTTTTGCTGTGCAACTCTTTAGGAGCTTTTATGGTGTCTTGTGTAAGCTTGATTAAAAATACAAAGTTTGGAGTTTTTTAATTTTCATATAGCTTTTGAAAAATTTTCTAGTTTATAATTTTTGTACCACTTCAAAGTATGAGGTTTCCATTTTTAAAAATATAATTTAAAAGCCGTGTTAAAACGACCATACTGTTGAAGTTTCAAATTGGCAAATTGAGTGTATTATTTTGAATTTTACTGCAGGACAGATGAAACAGGCTCAAGCTCTTCTAAATTTTGTGAAACACCAATGAAATTTTCCTTCATGAACATTTAAATCCATCATCATTTCTGCAGGTTCCAAGGCCATGGGCATTTTAAGATTAATGTTCTAGATGAAATAAAATTATTTTATGGTCTATTAAGATAATTTGCTAAACATCTATTTAAAAGCCTACTGTATAGGGGGTACTAGAGATACAAAAATAAGACATTGTTTCTATTTTAAAGAATTCACAATTTAATAATTAAAGAGATTTCTTCCATCTGTACTATGGGATAAATTCAATTAGCTAGATATAAATGTCAAAATTGATAAGAGGTAGAAAAGATCACTTATTAGATACTAAGTAAATGATTATTAAATAATGAACAATAGGAATTACAGACTTCAGCCGTAGGAAAGAAACATTACTGGATGAACTTTTTCAGTTCTTGGATATCAACATGGTTTTGGTTATTACAGTGATTATCAGTAATATTTAATGCATGAGGCTAGGGTATTCTGGCATTCAACGATGCTCTGTGCAGTCCTACCCAATTAAGAACTGCTATGATCCTACACAACTTTGAAAGTCTAACTAAAGCTACTACAAATATAAATTGGTATGTCACTTCTTCCAGAGTTTATGTTTATATTCAATGCAGTCCCTATAAAAATCCCAGCATAAATTTTTGTTAAATAAAAAAATGCAAAGGACCAAAAAGATAATCTTAAAAAAAAAAACCAGAATCTCCCTTTGTCACCCAGGCTGGAGTGCAGTGGATCAATCTTGGCTCACTGCAACCTCCACCTTAGGGATTCAAGTGATTCTCCTGCCTCAGCCTCCCAAGTAGCTGAAATTACAGATGTATGCCACCACCCCTGGCTAATTTTTGTATTTTTACTAGAGATGGGGTTTCACCATGTTGGCCAGGCTGGTCTCGAACTCCTGACCTCAAGTGATGCACTTATCTCGGCCTCCCAAAGTGCTGGGATTAAAGGCATGAGCCACAGCACCCAGCCCCAAAAAATAATATTTATACATAGCAATGTAGGAGAACTACCCTATGTCAACATTTGTGGTATTGACACAAGGACAGATCATTGTAACCAAACGGGACAGAAAAGAGTCCAGAAACAGACCCATACGTATATGATCACCTGTGACTTATGCCAAAAATAACACTAGTGCAGATGGGGAAGGATGTGCTTTTCAATAAATAGTACTCAGTCAAAACTGGTATCCGTATGATCCATATGAAAAACAAAAGTAAATCTTGACCCCTTCTTCACAGCGTAAACAAAAATCAATTCCAGATGGACTGCAATCTGATATGAAAGACTGTTACAATAGACTTTTAGAAAGAAACACTGAACACTGTCTTCACAGGGAGTGTCTGGAAAGGAGCTGAGGGTACTTTCAAGGAGCTGCTGATATTCCTGATTTTGATCTTACTAAACAAATTATAAAATGATTTCAATATATGTACCCACGTAAGCATAAATTGGTACTTTAAGACATAATACTGAAAACCTTTTACAAAAAGTTTTGCAGAAAGAAAGGGTCCTAATAGCAAAGGAAGTTCAGGCCGGGAGCAGTGGCTCAAGCCTGTAATCCCAGCACTTTGGGAGGCCAAGGCGGGTGGATCATGAGGTCAGGAGATCAAGACCATCCTGGCCAACATGGTGAAACCCTGTCTCTACTAAAATACAAAAAATTAGCCAGGCGTGGTAGTGGGCGCCTGTAATCCCAGCTACTTGGGAGGCTGAGGCAAGGGAATCGCTTGAACCTGGGAGGCTGAGGTTGCAGTGAGCTGAGATCGCGCCATTGCACTCCAGCCTGGCTACAGAGCAAGACTCCGTCTCAAAACAACAACAACAACAAAATAGCAAAGGAAATTTAATTGAAAAAAAAAATCTAAAGTTACTGAATAATTTACCCAACCTGTGCATTTTTTTACTCTATATTTCCAATTACATAGTTAATTGAAATGGGTTTCAATGCAATAGTGCAATTACTTCAAGAAGAGTGTAGTGATTTACATTTGTAACAGAAGAGTTGAAACTTAACAGATTTGTATCCAAACTTTAATAAATTAGTGAAGACATATGAAATGCAGAGACTTTAATGAATTTTATTAATAAAGTTTATTTTAAAAATATTTCTGGCCGGGTGTGGTGGCTCATGCCTGTAATCCCAGCACTTTGGGAGGCCAGGCGCGCAGATCACGAGGTCAAGAGATCGAGATCATCTTGGCTAATATGGTGAAACCCCTTCTCTACTAAAAATACAAACAATTAGCTGGGCATGGTGGCACACGCCTGTAGTCCCAGCTAGCCAGGAGGCTGAGGCAGGAGAATCACTTCAACCTGGGAGGCGGAGGTTACAGTGATCCGAGATCACGCCACTGCACTCCAGCCTGGACAACAGACTGAGACTCCATCTTAAAAAAAAAAAAAAAAATCTTTCCTATATATTGTTAAATGATTATAGCACATTAATACGTTTATGTATAAAAGTTATATGTTGAAATTGTCTTTTCAAGGGGTTATCACACAACTTCTCTATAGTCTGTTATAATAGTTTCCTTTTCTAACCTTCTTGTAGGCTTTATGACTTAGTCAAAATGAAAGCCAAACTCACCTGTGAAAAATATATACATTTTATATATTAGTAATCTATTATTTATTTTGTCATGCTAGCCCTAATACAATTAAGGTTATCACCTTCTTTCTCTAATCAATACCAAGAAACTCTGGTCTGTTATTATTTATCCTGAAACTAATTTTTATTCTAGATTCTACCTGTACCATATGTCTGATTTTTCATGATCTTGTGGGTTGGTTTTTTTTTTTTTTTTTGGTATGGAATAGCTTCTCATCTTGATTATCTTAAGTACAAACATATTCACTATAATTAGATGCAAGCATCTGACTATTTTATTAAAACTTCAGATTAAACATGGATAAAGGAGGGAAGCCCTCTGAGAGAGGCAGATCATGATGTGATTTCCAGCTCACAATTTTGGATTCTCTCCCATGGGTAATGGGGAGCCATTAAAGTATTTTATGCAGAGATTACCAATCAGATTTGTGTTTTAGAAGTATCACTCTGGGCCTGGTGCAGTGGCTCACAAGTATAATCCTAGCACTTGGGGAGGCCATGGCAGGCGGATTACTTGAGCCCAGTTCAAGACCAGCCTGGGCAACATGGTGAAGCCCCATCTCTACACAAAATTAGCCAGGCATGGTGGCGACACTTGTGGTCCCAGCTACTTGGGAGGCTGAGGTGGGAGGATCAATTGAGCTGGGGAGGTGGAGGTTGCAGTGAGCCGAGATCATGCCAGTGCACTCCTGCCTGGGCAACAGAGTGAGACCCTGCTTCAAAAAAAAAAAAATCACTCTGGCAGGAGTATGAAAAGAGATTGGAGTGGGGGTGGGGTGGGGTGACAAGACTAGAGGCCAAGAGTTGAGTTAGGAAACTGTTGCAGAGGCCAGGTGATCATCATCATCACCATCACCATCATCATAATGATTAGACATGAGATAAAATCAACTGAACTTAGTCATTTAGTAAGAGAAAAGGAGGAGTCTAAACTTGCTCCCAAATATCTGATTTGGGTGACTAGATGAGGTTGGTGTCTTTCATTAAAATAGGGACCATAGGAAAAGATGCAGTTTGGGACATGTAGAATAGGACATATAGGTGGATATAGCCTTTGAACATTTGGATGTGTGAATTTGTTCTAAGGAGATACATGATCCAGAGATGTATATTTGGGAATCATTGTTATATAGCTGGTAGTTGAAGACATTAGAACATGTAAGATCAGAAAACATGTTTAGATTCAGAAGAGAAGAAGGCAGAAGAATCATGTGGAGTGGTCTCATGGAAATTAAGGGAAGAGAGAATTTTGAAGGAATAATGAACAATGCCAAATGCATTGAGCAATAAATAGAAACAACAGTTGACTCATAGATAGAGAAGTCTATTGTATTTGGCAATATGAGGCTCATAGGTGACCATTGACCAAGAAGTTTCAGGGGCATAGGGCTCAAAACCTTAATTACATGTAGTTGGTTAAAGATCTAATGGCTTTTGCAATTTCTTTGAAAGTAGAAAAAGTGAATGGGAGGTAAGGAAATAGAGACAGCAAGTATCGACTCTCTGTTCCAGATTCTTGAGAATGAAAGAAAGGAGAAGGAAAGAATAATAGAGGTGGGTGCAGAATAGATAATTTTTCAATTATTTTGCTTTTTCCACTTGTACCTTGATTAAAATGTTGCTTTTGATTGCATTTTCATGAGTTAATATTAAACTTTGTATTTTTCTATAATTAATCATTCTATAATACTTTAGTTAATGGCATAAGTTTAAAAGAATCAGGGTTACCCCCAAACCAAATTAAGTATAAATACTAAATTGTGTGATTTCCATGAATGCACAGGATTAAAAAATATTTATGACAGAAATATGTAAAATCACGATTGAATAAAAGGAAGACGTTGACAGCGTGTTGGATAAATGTGAGATATCTTAACAAATGATTTTTAAATGAGGCCATCTGTTAAAGCTTCCTGATGCTCTGAGTCTGGAGCAAGAGGTTATTTATGTTTTCACGCAAATCAGGCTTTAACCAAAATACTTTGGAAAAAACAGATGCCTTATAGAAATTCATTATTCCTAAAATAATTACAACCTTCTAAATGTTAACATCCCTTTCTACAAAGAATGGTGTTATGCTAATGCTGTTTATATATATGAATGTGAAATTATTGTATCATTTACTGTAATGCAAGGGAATGGTTTCTCCTTATCCCCACCTCCATCCTCACCCCTGGGAGATACATGCCTGCTTACCAGGACCAATTTTCTACTTATTTAGCTAAAAATAATTGACCTTTGAAAGTCATAACCCAAGTAATTGAATTTGAACTAAAATCTAAAGATAAACCTAATCTTTCAGGCATTCTTTCCTCCCACTCTTTTGATCTTTTTGACCCCCACTAAGTCTTACCAGGTATATTGGAGTAGAGGAAATTTCATACTAGAATACAGTACTGTGTCATGTTTCATTAATGTCAAAGATTTCATGTAGTAAATAGAACAAGAAGGTACCACTTTGTATAATATTCAAAATCTATACAGCACATTGCTAAGCAGAGTATACACTCAAGAAATGTAGAATTGGTAATATTATACTAGAAAATGAACTTCCAGTATTGCTATTATTTTACTAATATGCATAGTCACTGACCTGTGAAGAGTGAACAGTATGTAGAAGTGCCTTTGAGATAGGAAATTGTGAGAGTCCCTAACTTTTACATACATATTAGATTAATTTGAGCCTACATAAAAAGAAAACAAATTTGTGAGGATTTGAGGGGGGAAAATCAGGGGACTTCCTGTTTGCAGCTCTTATCATTGGGAGAACAGTAAATTAGATCTAGACTAATATATTTGGTTTCTCTAATTTATGGCAATTTGTTAACTTTGTCATTGAGTGGAATGCTGAACAAAATTTCTATGGCACATAAGCACCTTGCACAGGGTTCGCTTTAATTCTTTGAGAAGCTTTCAGGCATAGACTATTTAGTATACTGATTAAAGTATGATTAATTATTAATTAGTATCTTGTCCTGTGAGAATGCCTTTAGCTTCAATAGGTTCATCTTTACTTGAAAATAATGGAAAGCTGGGTGCAGTGGCTCTCGCCTACTGAGTGGTGAGAGGATCACTTGAGGCCAGGAGTGGAAGACCAACCTAGGCAACATAGCAAGACCTCGACTCTACAAAAATTTTTTTTAATTAGCCAGGTATGGTGGTGCACGCCTGTAGTCCCATCTACTCAGAAGGCTGCGGTGGAAGGATCACTTGAGCGCAGGAGTTCAGGGGTCAGCAGTGAGGTTCAGTTGTGTCACTGCACTTCATCCTGGGCCACAAAATGAGAACCTGTCTTTAAAAAAAAAAAAAAAAAGAAAGAAAGAAAGAAGAATGAAAAAAATGGCTTACACACTGGGCAGATGTAGTGCATTTCTCCTTCCCAATTGCTGTCTGGGTTGATGCATTTGTCTGAATGGAGGGTGGAAGAAAGACTGAGAATTACATTATGTGAAAGCACCTGCCCAACTCCTTGCTTATGATAGGAAGTCTGTGGCCACTGACTTCCCATCTTATGTTCTATGTACTGTATGAAGTAGTATGGTATAGTGATTTAGAATGAGGCTCTGTAGTTCAACAGCCTGAATTTGAAACTTGACTCTACCACTTATTGGATGTGTGAGCTCAGCAAATAATGTCTTTCTGCTTCAGTTTTCTCACCTATTAAATAGAGATAATTAGCATCTTTCTCATAGGGTTGTGGTTGTGGTGGTGGTGGTGGTGGTTTTTCACTCAGGCAAAGAAGCATTGCTCTGCTAATGGAAACCTGGAGAAGTGCTTGTTAGCAAACAATACTCTGTTCTCCACCTCCTCCATATACCAGGGAAATGTTGGTGGTCTGTGAAATGGAACCAAAATTAATGTTCCTCTCATGAAGGAAGGAAAAGGAAATAACATGTGTTTCGTATGCATTATCTCACTTAATCCTTAGATTAATTCCTTCAGAATAAATATTATTAGTTGATTTTTTCATGTGAAAGACCTGAGGCTCAAGAGAGTGCTTATGCAAGATCAAATGTCTGCTGAATAGCAAAGCCAAGATTCAGTCAGAGGAATAGCTGACTCAAAAGCCCATCTGTTTCCACCTCATTCTACTAGCTAAATTGCCAACATTTGGGGCATAGCTGCTTTCCTCCTTTTCTAGATGTGGCAAATTAAAAGAAACCTGTGCCACAATCCAGTCCATCTGCCCTCACTTTCCTTCAAGTGAGAGGGAGCACGCACAGTGCAATCTCAAATAAGGTTTGGTCACTGACCAAATACCCCTTCTTTTTCCTAAAAAAAAATATATATATTTTATATCTGCAATATTGTGATGGATTATTTCTACTAAAATGTGAGTTTCTTCTATAGCTTTGTGGAAAAGTAAAATTAGAACTTCATACACAAGACACAGTTATCCCAATTTAACCTTTATCCTCTTACACTGAATTAGTTTACAAAGTCTGAGTTGATAAAAAAGCATAATTCCGTTAGCTTCCTACCTTCATTTTATTTTGATCTTTCTTATTTATTTAAAGAAAATGTTGGCCCTGAAAATCTTGCCTCTGGCCAAAAACAATAAAATTCTTATCTGGTAGTAACTAGTCATTACTAGTAATAGTTAAGGTTTCCTGTACTGAGTACTTAGTTTCATGTGGGTTTTTTTTCCTTTTTTTTTTTTTTTTTTTGCCGCAGAAAGCAAAGGCAAATCATGTCTTTTCTTATTCAAGGCCTTTTAAAGGTACTTTTTTTGCTCTTTGCACTACTTCTTAATTTTCAGTCAGTTTAGAAACAATTTTATACTTCCCCAAATTTCCTACATTAAGACTTCAAAAGCCTTAACATTAAAGAATAGCTGCTTTTGGCATTTAATATAGCTCAGAGCAAGGCAAGTTAGTACAGATAATTTAAATGATACCCAGTCACAGGTACCTTCACTTTCATTGGTTGCTTTTTCAGAATACCTATTTTGTTATGTACCTTATGAATTTAAACATGACTAAAGATGAATTTCTTAATGTGTACATTATGTTTTCTGAGCCTGGAAATTAAGGGGAAAAATGATGAAGGCATGTTACACAAGTACTTAATTTTTTTTTAAATCTCGGATAGTACTATGGTAATTAATGCTTATTTTATGCAAACTAGACTATATCTGTTAACGGACACATTACTGTCAAGAAAATATTACTTGTCTTAATTATCAGTAATGAAGCAGGGATAAGCTGCTCACTTAGATATAATATATCTAATGACCTTTTCAGTTAGAGGTTGTGATGAAAGGTATCAGTTTCACAAATTATGCTTCATTCAGCTTCTGGCCTTTGTGTAGATTAATGTTTTGTGGATGAGTTTTAAAGTCAGGCATAAATTGTGTTTGGTGTTTAAAATTGATTTAGTGTCTTGCTTTTAGTACATCATTTTCTCATTTATAAAGCCTCAGTTTTATCTTCAAGCTTAAAAAAATAATCCATGGTAAATTTAGAATTGCCTTACTGGCAGTGGTTTTTTTAACCTTACCAAATAGAATGGTACATATGTTTACACTTGTTTAACTAAAGGACATAGTTTATGACTGAAGTTTCTTTCTGATTTCTGAATTTAAAACAATAAGCACAATGTTTACAATAACAATTTTTGAACTAGGAATGTAAATATTTATCATACCACTTTTCCTAATTAGATATCCCCAGATGACACAAAGCTGGTTATTCATCCTGAGATGACACATAGCTGGTTATTGTGATAGAAGTTATGATATCTCTTAACATTAACTTCTTAGTGAGTAATAAACATGATATTGAAACATCATTAAAGAACTCATAGATTTGGCCTCATTCAAACCAATAGGAGAATTGCCCCCATGTTTTAAGCAACTAAGGATTTAAGCATTTTGTCTATGCAACATAACAGTGAGATGAAAAGTGGTTTTCAAATTTTTAAGCTGTGAAACTCTGAGAAACTTCTTACTCAGAAGTCCAATAAAGAAATCTAACAATACTGGAGCTGCTCTGGTTGAATTGGAAAATTTCTAAACTAACTTGAAGGAATCCAGGGCTGTCAAGTAGCAGTGTTTTGATACTATGATCCTGATAGTTATATTATTAATGTAGCCCAAATATTAGAGTTGGGGAGGAAAGTACAGACCATGGTTTTCAGACCTTCGTCTTAATGGGTAGGAAATTGAAAGATACAATATAACTAGCCTAAGTTAATATGGTCAGTAAGTGCTATGATCTAGAATCTAAAAAACATTAAGTACTTCTAGTGATAGAATGTTTTCCCTACTCACTGTTGCCCTACTACTATAAATAATGAATTTTGAAAACTATTTAAAGAACAGTTTCTGAATTGACCTAATCTTTGTGTAGAAAAGTACGCCATCAATTTTTCATTTGCAAGGGCACAGTAAAGTCCTAGCTACCCCAGCACATTGACTCTACTTCTTGCTCCATTGCTCATTTTGGAAGAGTACACAGTGACAGCTCCCAGTTCTGTACCTTGGCTTTGCAGAAAAGCAGGAGATCAGCAAAACAGGAGTTTTCCTGTGCTCTACTTAATTCCAATTCCTCGAAGGCTCATTCACACATGATGTTGCCTCTGATTGGAGCAACAGCCCCAATGTAACACCCTCTCCACCTCCTACCACTGTGGTCTCAGCCAGGCTAACTTCTGCATATCCTTCAGGCTGCAGTTTAAATATCACTGTCTCCCTCAGGGCTTCTATGATCCACACCAAGTCTAGATTGAATACCTCCGTTTATGCTCTGGTAGCATCCTGTATTTTCTCTATCATAGCAGTAACCACACTAGATTGCAATTACTTTTATCATCCCCTACTTAAATACTCAATTCCGTAAATAGAGACCACAAGTGTCTTGTTTATCGCTGATTCTTCCAAGCCTAGCAGAGTTTCTGACACATGGCTCGTGCCCCATGTTTATTAGGGAAGGAAGCAAGGGACGTAGACTCTCCACTGCCCACCCAAAGGAGTAACGTGCTGAATGGAAATAATCTTAAACTCGTTTTTTTATTATTATTATTATTATACTTTAAGTTCTAGGGTACATGTGCATAACATGCAGGTTTGTTACATAGGTATACATGTGCCATGTTGGTGTGCTGTACCCATTAACTCGTCATTTACATTAGGTATATCTCCTAATGCTAACCCTCCCCCCTTCCCCCAACCCCATGACAGCCCTGGGTGTGTAATATTCCCCTTCCTGTGTCTAAGTGTTCTCATCGTTCAATTCCCACCTATGAGTAAGAATATGCAGTGTTTGGTTTTTTGTCCTTGCAATAGCTTGCTGAGAATGATGGTTTCCAGCTTCATCCATGTCCCTACAAAGGACATGAACTCATCCTTTTTTATGGCTGCATAGTATTCCATTGTGTATATGTGCCATATTTTCTTAATCCAGTGTCTATCATTGATGGACATTTGGGTTGGTTCCAAGTCTTTCCTATTGTGAATAGTGGTGCAGTAAACATACGTGTGCATGTGTCTTTATAGCAGCATGATTTGTAATCCTTCGAGTATATACCCAGTAATGGGATGGCTGGGTCAAATAGTATTTCTAGTTCTAGATCCTTGAGGAGTTGCCACACTGTCTTCCACAATGGTTGAACTAGTTTACAGTCCCACCAACAGTGTAAAAGTGTTCCTATTTCTCCACATCTTCTCCAGCAACTGTTGTTTCCTGACTTTTTAATGATCGCCACTCTAACTGGTATGAGATGGTATCTCATTGTGGTTTTGATTTGCATTTCTTTGATGGTCAGTGATGATGAGCATTTTCTCATGTGTCTTTTGGCTGCATAAGTGTCTTCTTTTGAGAAGTGTCTGTTCAGATCCTTCGCCCACTTTTTGATGGGGTTGTTTGTTTTTTTCTTATAAATTTGTTTGAGTTCTTTGTAGATTCTGGATACTAGCCCTTTGTCAGATGAGTAGATTGCAAAAATTTTCTCCCATTCTGTAGGTTGCCTGTTCACTCTGATGGTAGTTTCTTTTGCTGTGCAGAAGTTCTTTAGTTTAATTAGATCCCATTTGTCAATTTTGGCTTTTGTTGCCATTGCTTTTGGTGTTTTAGACATGAAGTCCTTGCCCATGCCTATGTCCTGAATGGTATTGCCTAGGTTTTCTTCTAGGGTTTTTATGGTTTTAGGTCTAACATGTAAGTCTTTAATCCAGCTTGAATTAATTTTTGTATAAGGTGTAAGGAAGGGGTCCAGTTTCAGCTTTCTACATATGGCTAGCCAGTTTTCCTAGCACCATTTATTGAATAGGGAATCCTTTCCCCATTTCTTGTTTTTGTCAGATTTGTCAAAGATCAGATAGTTGTTGATGTGTGGTATTATTTCTGAGGGCTCTGTTCTGTTCCATTGGTCTATATCTCTGTTTTGGTACCAGTACCATGCTGTTTTGGTTACTGTAGCCTTGTAGCATAGTTTGAAGTCAGGCTGCGATATGCCTCTGGCTTTGTTCTTTTGGCTTAGGATTGTCTTGGCAATGCGGGCTCTTTTTTGGTTCCATATGAACTTTAAAGTAGTTTTTCTAATTCTGTGAAGAAAGTCATTGGTAGCTTAATGGGGATGGCATTGACTATAAATTATTTTGGGCAGTACGGCCATTTTCACGATATTGATTCTTCCTATCCATGAGCATGGAATATTCTTCCATTTGTTTTTATCCTTTTTTATTTCATTGAGCAGTGGTTTGTAGTTCTCCTTGAAGAGGTCCTTGACATCCCTTGTAAGTTGGATTCCTAGGTATTTTATTCTCTTTGAAGCAGTTGTGAATGGGAGTTCACTCATGATTTGGCTCTCTGTCTGTTATTGGTGTATAAGAATGCTTGTGATTTTTGCACATTGATTTTGTATCCTGAGACTTTGCTGAACTTGCTTATCAGCTTAAGGAGATTTTGGGCCAAGACAATGGGGTTTTCTAGATATACAATCATGTCATCTGCAAACAGGGACAATTGGACTTCCTCTCTTCCTGATTGAATACCCTTTATTTCTTTCTCCTGCCTGATTGTCATGGCCAGAACTTCCAACACTATGTTGAATAGGAGTGGTGAGAGAGGGCATCCCTGTCTTGTGCCAGTTTTCAAAGTGAATGCTTCCAGTTTTTGCCCATTCAGTATGTTATTGGCTGTGGGTTTGTCATAACTAGCTCTTATTATTTTGAGATATGTCCCATCAATACCTAATTTATCAAAGAGTTTTTAGCATGAACGGCTGCTGAATTTTTTCGGAGGCCTTTTCTGCATCTATTGAGATAATTATGTGGTTTTTGTCTTTGGTTCTGTTTATACGATGGATTACATTTATTGATTCGCGTATGTTGAACCACCCTTGCATCCTAGGGATGAAGACAACTTGATCGTGGTGTATAAGCTTTTTGATGTGCTGCTGGATTTGGTTTGCCAGCATTTTATTGAGGATTTCTGCATAGATGTTCATCAGGGATATTGGTCTAAAATTATCTTTTTTTGTTGTTGTTGTTGTGTCTCTGCCAGGCTTTGGTATCAGGATGATGCTGGCCTCATAAAATGAGTTAGGGAGAATTTCCTCTTTTTCTATTGATTGGAATAGTTTCAGAAGGAATGGTACCAGCTCCTCCTTGTACCTCTGGTAGAATTCGGCTGTGAATCCATCTGATCCTGAGCTTTTTTTGGTTGGTAAGCTATTGATTATTGCCTCAATTTCAGAGCCTGTTATTTGTCTATTCAGGGATTCAACTTCTTCTTGGTTTAGTCTTGAGAGGGTGTATGTGTTGAGGAATTTATCCATTTCTTCTAGATTTTCTAGTTTATTTGTGTAGAGGTGTTTATAGTATTCTCTGATGGTAGTTTGTATTTCTGTGGCATTCGTGGTGATATCCCCTTTATCATTTTTTATTGCATCTATTTGATTCTTCTCTCTTTTCTTCTTTATTAGGCTTGCTAGTGGTCTATTAAATTTGTTGATCTTTTCAAAAAACCAGCTCCTGGATTCATTGATTTTTCGAAGGGTTTTTTGTGTCTCTATCTCCTTCTGTTCTGCTCTTATCTTAGTTATTTCTTGCCTTCTGCTAGCTTTTGAATGTGTTTGCTCTTGCTTCTCTAGTTCTTTTAATTGTGATGTTAGGGTGTCAATTTTAGATTTTTCCTGCTTTCTCTTGTGGGCATTTAGTGCTATAAATTGCCCTCTACACACTGCTTTAAATGTGTCCCAGAGATTCTGGTATGTTATGTCTTTGTTCTCATTGGTTTCGAAGAACATCTTTATTTCTGCCTTCATTTTGTTATATACCCAGTAGTCATTCAGGAGCAGGTTGTTCAGTTTCCATGTAGTTGAGTGATTTTGAGAGAGTTTCTTAATCCTGAGTTCTAGTTTGATTGCACTGTGGTCTGAGAGACAGTTTGTTATAATTTCTGTTCTTTTACATTTGCTGAGGAGTGCTTTACTTCCAACTATGTGGTCAATTTTGGAATAAGTGTGATGTGGTGCTGAGAAGAATCTGCCCTACAAGAGCTTCTGAAGGAAGCACTAAACATGAAAGGAACAACCGGTACCAGCCACTGCAAAAACATGCCAAATTGTAAAGACCATCCATGCTAGGAGGAAACTGCATCAACTAATGAGCAAAATAGTCAGCTAACATCATAATGACAGGATCAAATTCACACCTAACAATATTAACCTTAAATGTAAATAGGCTAAATACTCCAATTAAAAGACTCAGACTGGCAAATTGGATAAAGAGTCAAGACCCATCAGTGTGCCATATTCAGGAGACTCATCTCACGTGCAGAGACACACATAGGCTCAAAATAAAGGGATGGAGGAAGATCTACCAAGCAAATGGAAAACAAAAAAAGGCAGGGGTTGCAATCCTACTCTCTGATAAAACAGACTTTAAACCAACAAAAATCAAAAGAGACAAAGAAGGCCATTACATAATGGTAAAGGGATCAATTCAACAAGAAGAGCTAACTATCCTAAATATATATGCACCCAATACAGGAGCACCCAGATTCATAAAGCAAGTCCTTAGAGACCTACAAAGAGACTTAGACTCCCACACAATAAACTGGTTTCTTATTGAGCAGCTGCTGACTTCCTGTGTGACTTTAGAAGAGTTATCTCTAAGTCTTCGTTTCCATTTCCAGTAGGATAATAATAGCTCTAGTACCTAGCTTTTACATTTCTTGTATTATAATTGGGTTTTCTCTACATCAGGGCTTTCATTTCAGTTTCTGTATTATAATGGAAGAGGAAAGCCTCTTTTTTGTTTCTTGGGTTTTTTTTGATACCAGATTAAGCAGGCTTCTCTCAAAAGCAATTTGTTTAAAATCATCTTACTAAAATTCTAGGTCCCAAGAAATTGAAAAACGGGCCACCTCCTTCATTTACAAATAATCTTACAGACTTTTAATGATGATGACATTCTGTAAATAAAGTATTTGTAGTCATTCTTGGAAACTTCAGGACTTTATTTCTTGATTTTATCCTTGAGAGTGGTACTTACACAACTCATAATTTAACATGTATACCACGTAGTCAGGGTGGAATTATTGTCCACTATTAAAAATGTCTAAACTTGTTTCTGTCTAAAATGAGGACTTGAAATGCAATCAGGGTCTCATCAAAAGAAATACCACTCTTCCAATGATTATTTATAATATTTTTATATTAACAAAAGCAGCTGATGAGATGAATAGGATGTAAGAGATGAAGAAGAGAATTGTCTCATTCATTTTTTCAGAAAGTTGAGAAAGAAAAAGTTAAAAAAAAACCCATTGAACTTTAGTAGTGCTTCTACTACATATCAGAAAATGCTTTTTTTTTAAAAGGATTTTTTAAGGAAAATAATACACATAGCTAGAACAGCAGTTTATATTTAACAGAACTAAATGGTCACATTTTTAAGTAAAGTACGCCCTGGCATTTGAACAGCTGTTATATCCAATTCAGATTTGCATACTGTTGTTTAACCTTCCCAGCTGTAGCGGGGGTGGCGTGTTAGTCTAATCTGGTATAAAATATGCATAGTATACTCAAAGTTGAAACTTTAAACACATATTTGTATTAAACTGATAAATTTTAGTCATATAAGCCTGTTTTAAATAAACACCTTATCTTTCTGTAAGTTATTTA
The DNA here is from genome assembly GCF_000001405.40 of Homo sapiens. Taxonomy (NCBI): domain Eukaryota; kingdom Metazoa; phylum Chordata; class Mammalia; order Primates; family Hominidae; genus Homo; species Homo sapiens. The sequence goes on from NC_000011.10 coordinate 31,698,275, forward strand.
TTGAGCAGATTTTAATTAATTAAAACCTCTTTCAAACCTTTTATGTTTTATTTATATCTTTTTGTACTTTAATATTACTAATGAACACAAAGTATATACATTTCCTATGTATATGCTTACAATTACATTGCGACAGCCATAGAAAAATTTTTTTTTGAGACAGGGTTTCACTTTGTCACCTAGGCTGGAGTGCAGTGGTGAGATCTCTACTCACTGCAACCTACATCTCCTGGGTTCAAGCGATTCTCCCTCCTTAGCCTCCCGAGTAGCTGGGATCACAGGCGTGGGCCACCACTCCTGGCTAATTTTTGTCTTTTTAGTAGCGACAGGGTTTCAACATATTGGCCAGGCTGGTCTTGAACTCCTGGCCTCAAGTGATCCACCCCTCTCAGCCTCCCAGAGTGCTGGGATTACAGGCATGAGCACCATGCCTGACCTGGAAATTTTAAATTATATTTTTCCTATATTTCTACCTGATTCTCTGACCTCAGCAGAATCTTCTTTATTAATACAGTTATGGAAATGGAATGAGGAGGAGGTGATTGCTGTATGAAGATCTTACAAGACTAAGGCTAAAAGAGATTAACATCAAAATACATATTACCATGGAGCACATGAATATAGTGAATAAAAATTTGTTCATCAAAGCCTGCTACAGTATAAAACATTGCTTGAAATTTGAAAGAAATGATTTTAGAACAAATAAATGGTCATGATTATACACCATGCACACTCAAGCACACACAACAATATACATGTAGAAATAGATGTATCTGTATGTGAGTTTATGTACTATATATGTGTGTATTTCTTAACCTTCTCTTCTGAAGAGCCTAGAAGCAATGACAACCCTAGGGAATACTCCAAGTACCCAAATATTGGTTTCTGAGTCTCTTCCTCCACAAAAAATAAAAAAGAAGTGAAGAGGAGGGAAGCCTCTTGGCAAGATAGCTAATTCTAGGATTGAGGCACAGAAGGTATAAAATGAGACTAAAATTTGTGCCAGAAAGTAAGGAGATACTCAAAGAACAGTAGGAGCATGAAAAAACATGGCCCAGGATTTAATTCAAAGAGGTTCCTACTAGCCAGTCTGGGAAATTTGAGCATCGAAATTAATAATGGAAAACATTAAATAAAATGGAAATTCATGAGCCCATACTGAGATAGATGGATGCATAGTTAGGTAGGAAAAGAAATCTCTTCCCTGCCATAGAATACCAACTATTAAACCTCGAAGGAATGATAAAAATAGAAAATCACCATTTGACAGTCATAGTTCATCACCCATAGTTCAATTCAGATGGAAGTTTTCAATGGAGACTGAGGCCTGGCTTGTGGGTTTGATGAGGTTTAATGAGGAAAACGATATTGACATAATCTCAGAATATCTCCCTTATGCACTACTAGTTAGTTACTAAGGGATGACATGACAGTGGAGAAATTTTCTGAACAATATGACCAGATGATCAAGGTTGACATCACAAGTGGGTCAACTTCATGTATGGCACATCACCTTGATGTGTAGCCTTGAAAAGAGCAGAGTATCATGTTAGTGGTTTCCCTGCCCAAAAAGCATGATCATGAGGAAATAGTAGATAGATCTAAGTTTATGATTAGCCTACAGAATGAAGGTTCTGTATCTTTGGAAAAATGTCAAGAACATGAAAGACCTGGAGAGACTGAGAATATGGGAGGAGAATGAATGTCCTGACGATACTGGGGCAGTTGACAAAGTTTGAATGATGTCTGTAGATTGATAGTAGTGTTGTATAAATGTTGATTTTCTGACTCAAAGGCTTATATGGTGATTCTGTAGAAGAATGTCCTTGTCTTAAGAAGTACTGGAGTATTTAGGGTTGATAGGAATCATGTCTGCTGCTTGTTCTTGGATACTTCAGAAAAGACTAATTATGGGTATACGTATATGCTTAGGGGAGTGTATCTATTTTTTTAAAAAAAAAGAAAAATGGAGCAAATGAAAAATTAAAAATTGGGGAATCTGGGTGATAGGGATATGGGAATTCTTTGTTTTGTTCTGGCATACTTTTCTGTGTTTGAAAATACTTCAAAATGAGTTATTCTAAAATGATCACTGAAAAGGTAATAAATACATCATAAACATTAATATTTATGTAATAATAATATGAGTAGTCACAGTAAGTCAGGTTAATAAAAACTATAAATAGCTTTATGTCCATGTAGACAAACGAGTTAAGATTTTCAGAGATTTTTGGATTTTTGGAATTGAGAATAAAGGCTGTGGGTCTGTATAAGGTATCCTGGCCCAAATAAGTACGTTTTCCCAGTCTCACACAGGAAGTAACAGAACCAAGATCTCTTGATTCCCTCCCCAGTAGTCCTTGGAAGACAGCTGGAAAAGATTACTTACTCAAGATAGGGACATGTGTATTCAAATTCTGACTTTTGGGAGTTGATTCAGGAAAGTGTCAGATTTACAAAAATTTCCCTTAGAGCTGCATCATTAGATTCACCAAGAGGGCATGTTCTGTGTTGCAGTTTTCAAATGCAACCCAATGAGAATATAAGAATGTTCTCATTGGTATGCAATGAGAATGTAGAAAGAAATACTAGAAAACCTTTTTCTTTCTCCTTGCCTATGTCATATATAGTATAAATGTGAGAGTGAGTAGATTTCTTCCTCTCCTCCGTGGTTTTCATCCCATGCTAATTCTCTTATCCTGTAAGATTTCCTTCCTCTTTACAAGGTTAAAATACCCTTGGATTTCAAGCAGTACCTTTTTAAAATCTGATTTACCAATCACTTGATTAGCCATAGTGGCTAATGTGTTTTTAATGTTTCAAATAGCCAATGACTTGAACCTCTGTGTAGGAAAATAGCCTTCTCTGCATTCTGTATTTGCTCATACCATTTTGCATATATTTAAGGACTTCATGCTCAAGCAGTTTCTTTTCCTTTTTAAAATTTCCTTGTCTTACCAGGAAAATAAAACTTTTTGGATATTTTCTGTTATATAGCCAATATAAAGTCCATTTTGAGGACTTAATATTATAAAAACTAAGCTGTCACATTGCTTAAATGGGATTTTGATAAGCTCCTTGTATCTTGCTCTTATTCTTTAATTCCTTTTAAAAGATTTTCTGGAAGTACCCATGAAGTATTCTAATTTTACACCTACATATTTAAAATAAGATTTTTTATTAGTAGAATCATGCTATTGCCTTAATTAGCTTCTAATCTCACTCAATTTATCTTGGGGCACAGATATTGTATCCTATTTAAATTTATGTCAAAAGCTATTGCCTAAACATAATTTTATAATAGCTCTGTCTCCTGGGTTCTAAAACTGCTTTTTTCTGCTCCTATTGCCAAGCCAGTTATGTTTTTTCCTGTATTTTCAGTTAATTAACTTAAGCCCTATATATATTTCATGGTTTTATAGACTAATATATATATAATAAATATATATACACACATTATATATATTTTAATCTATTTTTCCAACTTGAGCCTTGGTAAATTTTATTTTACCTAATATAATAAGAGGTAGATTTTCAATACTGATCAGTAAAGACAACATTTTTTAAAATGGGTAAACAAAAACATTTTATATTATAAACACCTGATAGTATACCTTTATTTCTCAGCATACATAACTTTAGTGTTTATATATTATTCCCAAAAATTGAATATCAACTGTTAGCCACAGTACGAAGCGAATAATATATTGATGAATTATGTTTCTGACTGTCCTTTTAAATCTACTTAGTAAATAAAGTTATAGTTGCATTTCCAAATGTGAACTTTTTAGTCTCCTATAATTGTATATGTTTACACATGTTGAGATGGAAAGACTTTAAGCACTGAGATTTTGAGATGTTGATTAAACAAGTAATTAGACTTGAGCCAGGCATGGTGCCACACACCTGACCCAGCTACTCAGGAGACTGAGGCAGGAGGATCACTTGAACCCAGGAGTTCAAAGCTGCAGTAAACTGTAATTGGGCCACTGCACTCCAGTCTGGGCAACAGAGCGAGATCTTGTCTCTAAAAATAATAATAATAACAATAACAATAATAATAATAATAATAACAATAATAATTAGGCTTGAATTAAAACATGTCAGGGAGAGGAGAATGGAATTTATTGTTTAATGGATACAGAGTTTCAATTTGGGATGAAAAAGTTCTGGAAATGGATAATGGTAAAAGTTGCATAACAACATACAACTTTTAAATGTACAGTTCAGTACTTAATGCCACTGAACTGTACATTTAAGAATGGTTAAGAGATAAATTTTATGCTATGTATATTTTACCACTGTGTATATATTTAAAATCTGATTCGTAGTTTTTCATCTGTAGGTGTTTCTCCCTTATCATAGACATTAGTTAGCATTTAGTCTTTAACCTTAACATATACTATTATTCATTTAATATATGTTAGTTTTACTGTGTTAGGTGTACATTCTGGCTATAAAAAATCTCTGAAAGTTTTTTAATTGCCTTCAGGTATTTTTTAGCTATGTGACCTTGTATAAGATACTTAACTCCTCTAAACTTTCATTTTCTTATGTATAAAATGAGGATATCAATGCCTATATCAAAAGGTTGTTAGATGGACCAGTTAATGTAATAATATTTACTTCAAATTTTATTGGGAAAATAAATATTATGTAAAGCACTTAGAACAGTTAAATTCATTAAAATCACTCAGGAAATTATAGCTGCTAGCACTTTTTATTAGACATTGCAGATGAGTTAACACACCAAAGCTCCTTTTAATTTTTGGTTGTCCTTTGGGGGCTGCATGTGTGGGTTACATCTTATAGTCACTGCCTGCATTCTCTTTGTTTACTTTGTACTTGACTTGCTAAGCATGACACATGCAGAGGATCCAGTGACTACGTGTTTGGTCTCCTAGGACCTCTTCAGCCTCCTAGGCCTTGCACCAGTGGCATAGTCAGCAAGCTTGCTAAGCAAGGGGAACAGTGAAAAGAAGACAGGGGGTGCAGCATGCCAGTGTTTCTGTGGAACAACCTTTATTGCCCAGCTATCCCCAGATATTCTAAAACAGTTATGACACCTTTTCAGATTTAGATCACCTCTTTATTTATATATACTGTGACTCTGCTAGTTTTAAGCAATTATAATTGATCAAAAACATTAGCCAGTGTTTTTCAAAGTATGAGTAAAATATGAATATTTTTAACATAATCTATATACTTTGCTTCATTTATGAGAGAATTTGAAGCAGTTACCTAATTTGCTCTTATTGTCACCATTTTATTGAAATGGAAAGTAACTAGACAAAAAGAAACCTTAAAAGATTGTCGCCTAAATCTCTTCTCTTCAAGGTACAAGTTACCCTTAAACTCTTCTCTCCAGGTACCTTACACCTTAGTTGTGATTATCCAGCTGTCCTAGAGCAAGCCTGTGATTTCTCTATTGGTGATCTTGTGGCAGTATTTCACATTATTATATGTTTTTAAGGAAATCAAAGTGTTTCCTGATTGAAAAATAAGAATTAGTGCAATTGTTTTATCTTCTAGTTAATATGCCTTCTCCTAAAGTAATTCTCAAATTGTTTGAAACTGAAGGCCAAGAATATGGCAGAAAATAGAAATCATTTGAAACTGGTAAACATTTCAACTTGAATATATATGTCCAAAAAATTAAAATTCAAAAATGTTATATGCACTCACATATTCAGCACTCTAACTTAAGCTACAGCACACTTCTGAGATCTGATAGTAACAATATTGTAAAGCTTAATTATATTTTTATGGCCCATGCCATCTGGGCATTTGTTCTGCTTACAATAGTAATAGAATTTAAAAAAAAAAAATTTAGTTTGCAGTGCAATTGTCTTACCACAAATGCATCAAGGCAAATTATCTCTTATTATTTCAGATCCTGTTCTTGTAGTTTGGATTTGTATCTGTTTGAAAATAGAAAAACTTCTCAGCAACTAAAAAAAAAAAAATCTCACATGGTTAATTCAAACAGAAGACACAAAACTCCTATCTTTATTTCTTAAAACTATGCAGCCATAAAAAAGGATGAGTTCATGTCCTTTGTAGGGACATGGATGAAGCTGGAAACCATCATTCTCAGCAAACTATCGCAAGAACAAAAAACCATACACCGCATGTTCTCACTCGTAGGTGGGAATTGAACAATGAGAACACTTGGACACAGGAAGGGGAATATCACACACCAGGGCCTGTTGTGGGGTGGGAGGAGGGGGGAGGGAAAGCATTAGGAGATATACCCAATGTAAATGACGAGTTAATGGGTGCAGCACACCAACGTGGCACATGTATATATATGTAACAAACCTGCACGTTGTGCACATGTACCCTAGAACTTAAAGTATAATAAAAATAAAAAAATTAAAATTAAAAAATAAAAAATAAATTTTGATTTAGATCATAGAAAACACTACTCTTGTTTATGACTTAAAGATTATATAGATCAGGCTTGGTGGCTCATGCCTGTAATCCAGCATTTTGGGAGGCCGAGGTGGGTGGATCACCTGAGGTGAAGAATTCGAGACCAGCCTGGCCAACATGGTGGAACCCCGTCTCTACTAAAAATACAAAAGTTAGCCGGGCATGGTGGTGCGCGCCTATAGTCCCAGCTACTTGGGAGGCTGAAGCAGGAGAATCGCTTGAACCTGGGAGGCAGAGGTTGTGGTGAGCTGAGATCGCGCCACTGCACGCCAACCTGGGAACAGAGCGAGACTCCATCTCAAAAAAAAAAAAAAATTATATAGTATATGACTTAAGGATTATTTTCTGACTTCCTAAGTCAACATATGTCTTAGTCCATTTTTGGTTGCTATAATAGAATACCAGAAACTGGGTAATTTATAAAGAACAGAAGTTTATTTGGCTCATGGTTTTGGAGACTGGGAAGTCCAAGAGCATGGTGCCAACATCTGGCAGGGGTCTTCCTGCTGCATCATAATATGGCAGAGAACACCACATGGTGAGAGGGCAAGAGCATGTCAGCTCAGGTCTCTCTTCCTCCTCTTATAAAGCCACCAGTCCCATCATGGGGCCCCACCCTGATGACCTTATCTAATCCTAATTACCGCCCAAAAGCCCCACTGTCAAATACCATTAACATATGAATTTGGGGACTAAGTTTCCAACACATGAAATTTGAGGGACACATTCAAACCAGAATACCATATAAATGTACTTATGTTTAATTGCTTTGTTGCTAGGAACTTTGGATTGCGACAAACACAGATTTTAAAACTACTGCTTTATACACTTAAACATACAGGTTCAGAATCTTTTTATTTTGACATGTTAATTATTCAAAAAATATTGCAGATTAAAATTCCTCTGCAACTGTAGTTATTACCAATGTTAATAAATGATAATAATGGTTATGTCTTAGTTCTAACTTTCTCTTAAAGGAAAAAGTGGACCACCATTATCAATATGTCTATTAATTTCTCTAGAGACAAGAAATCTGCATTAACCTTTGTGATATTTAAACATCATAAATGTTTGACATTCTACATGGTAAATTTTCAGACTGATATATTTCTATACATACAATACATAATTTTTTTTAAATTTTGTTTGTTTATTTTTTTAGAGACAGGGTCTTGCTCTGTCACCCAGGCAAGAGTGCAGTGGCACAAGTATAGCTCACTGTAACCTCAAACTCCTAGGCTCAAGTGATCCTCCTGCCTCAGCCTCCTGAGTAACTAGGACTGCAGATGCACACCACCACTCCTGGCTGATTTTTTATTTTTTATAAATAAAGGATTTCCAAGGCTGGTCATGAATATAATATTTTTAATAAAAATACGTTGCATTTTTGTATGTTGTATTTTTTTACTTTTTAAATTGACATATAATAATTGTACATATTCATAGGGCACATAGTAATGTTTTGATGCATTTAATAAATACATAGGGATTAGCTCAGGATAATTAGCATGCCTATCATCTCAAACGTTTATTATTTCGTTGTGCTGGGAATGTTTAATATCTTCCTTCTACTATTAGAAATGATATATTATTTTCAACTCTAGTCATCCTACAGTGGTATAGAGTACTAGAACTTAAGGCCAGACATGGTGGCTCATGCCTATAATCCCAACACTTTTGAGAGGCCAAGGTGGGAAGATTGCTTGAAGCCAGCACTTCAAGACCAGCCTAGTCTATATAGTGAGACCCCATCTCTACCAAAAAAAAGTTTTAATTAAATGTTATATTTATTTTTATATATTTATATATGTAATTAATTTAATTTGTTTATATATTTAATTTAATATATTAAATTAATATAATTAATAATTAATGATATATTTAATTTAATTAATTTTATATATTTATATATTTAATTCATATATTTTAACTTTTATCTAATATTTTCAAAAAAAGAACACTATAACTTCTATCTAGCTATAAATGTACATCCTTTAACAAGTCTCTGCCTCGCCTTCCCTTCCACCTACCCATCCCAACATCTAGTACCTGTGTTCTACTTTTTATAATACTTCTATGACATGAACATTTTTAGCTCCCACATATGAGTGAGAACAGGTGGTGTTTAACTTTCTGTTCCTGGCTTATTTCACTTAATATAATGTCCTCCAGTTCCATCCACATTGCTGCAAATGTCAGGATTACATTCTTTTTTATTGCTAAATATTATTCCATTGTGTATGTATACACCACATTTTCTTTATTCATCTTTTTTTGGACACCTAGGTTGACTTCATATCTTAGCTATCGTGAATAGTGCTGCAGTAGACGTGGATGTCCGGATGTCTCTTTAATGTAATGATTTCCTTTCCTTTGGAGAAATTCCCAGTAGTGGGATTGCTGGATCATATGGTAGTTTCATTTGCAGTTTCTTGAGAACCCTTCATACTATTCTTCATAGTTGCTGCACGAGTTTATATTCCCACCAACAGTGTAATACGTAATATTTAATACCAGATATATATAATTTCATGTAAGTATATATATGAAATAAAACCTTACAGTTCATGTTACTAGCAATATCCTTGATGTTCAACTGAAAATATAAAGTAGTCAAAGACCTCATTTTACCACGTGTAATCTATTGACAATATACTTTTATAACGTATACAAAAAATACTGAATCATCTTGGTATGTTGTAAGTGTGGAAAATTTAATGATACTTATGTTTTATTATTTCCCTTTATTCTATAACAATGTATTATTTTATAATACCTTCTGTAATTTACTATGTTAATATAATTCCATGGCAAGAATTCATCAATTCTACTTGAATGGTTGGTATTTTCTTTTTTCTTTAAATTATACAAGTGATATGTGACTAATTTTATATTATTTTTCTGTTACTGCTATAAAAAATCACCACAAACTTAGTGGCTTAAAATAACATAAATTATTTCCCTATAATTCTAGAGGTCAGAGGTCCACAGTCAGGATCTCAAAGGATTAAGGTCAAGGTATCAGCAATACTGGTTCCTTCTGGAAGCTTTACAGGAGAATCCATTTTCCAGTTCTGTAAACTACCAGCATTCCTTGGCTATGGCCTCATCACTCTAACCTCTGCTTCCATCATTACATGGCCTCTCTGACTTTTACCCTTCATCCTCCTTTTATAAGGACTCTTGTGATTATATTGTGCCCAGGGCAATCATTTCCCCATTTCAGGATCCCTAATCACATATGAAAAGTCCTCCTTGCTATGTAAAGTAACATTCACGGATTCCAGGAATTAGGACATGTACATCTTCAAGGATAAGCAGGAGCATTATTACAGCCTACCACTCATTCTTTTATTTTTTAGTTTCAATTTTTTAAAAATATCATCGTTCTCTTCTACCACAGGGCCTTTGCCATTCAGTCTTCTTGGACATGTAACTCTTTACATTTTCCCCCTAACTAAATAATTCCTTTTCAGCTCCCAGAGTAGTATCTCCTACAGGGAAACCTTCTACTTCTCCTCTTTTATATCCTTAAAGCATCATGATGTTCTCAAGCCACAACAAAGCCATCAGAGTTCGATTTCATCTCAGATGGTTTTCATGTAAGCCCATGAAATGTAACCTTGATATTCAGGTTTATATTTCACAATTTTAGCAGTATAGCATCCAAGACATAATTTTTAAAGCCAACTCTCAGTTATCTACAAGTGTATTATACACATTTAAGATTATCTGAATCAAAAATAAGTTTTTATTGACAGTAACACCTCATTCCCTGGCCTAAGGACCTTTTTTTTAAAGGATCTTTTATTTAAATAATATACTTCTGGCCAGATCTGGAGATCAAAAAGTTATCAATGAGTTCCAATAAAAGTGAGAACCAACAAATTTATAAACTGGTGCTTGTTAAGCTCTGATTTCAAGTAGTATCTCAGTATGAATGTCTTAAGAGAAGATGCTGGTTTTACCCAGCAGTAAGAAAGTTGAGCAGTAAATTAAGTCACAGAAGTCAACTAACTTTTAATTTCTTCCTAAGAAAACCATAATAAAAACAATGCTGAAGTATATTCTGAATCAAATATATATATTTTTAAGCTGCTCCTTTGAATTACCTGTTGCCTAAAGTTTCCACTGTTAGTGTAACTAATTGAATAATTATGCAAGGAAAGTTGTTATTGACATCCAAGATTTTGTTTGTAGTAAAAATGTTATTTAATTCCCCAATTTTTCTTTTATATGTAAGATTAAAATTTAGACTTTCATCAGCATTATCCTTTTGGTCTTTAAAATATCTGAAATCTAACTGTAATTCTATGACAGGAGGTCCACGATTAATTGATTTTATTAAATTTTCTACTCTCTAACAACTCTCTGATCTATACATCCTGTCATTGAATATTTTTGGTATTTGAGTCAAAATCATTTGAGTGAAAGAATATAAGTTCAAAATGGGCAATTGCTGGTATGAGGTTTACCCAAAACCAAGGGTCCTGAGTAGGAAAGCATATGCATACGACCTGGTGTCAGTTAGGAACAAATTGATGATACGTCATATTACAAACTATAGATTTGAAATACTTTTAAATAGGATTTTCAATCCAAGGGTCTGTGTTTCCAAGATTAGTCTTCAGGTGCTAGTTAAGTTTATGCTAAAACTGAAAAGCTGCTCCTAAGGAAGTGTAATACTTACCGAATGACCCAAGTTTCACGTATTCAGTTACTCACTATCAGGGAATTGTTAAGTATGTGGAAAGCATTGTTTATTACTCTGTAATGATACCAAGTCTCGTAAAATATGATCCCTCTCCCCAAGAAAGAGTTTATCGTGGTAATTAATATACCACACCTCAGTATCTGCGGACTTGGATTTTAGTCCCAACTCTGCCATTTACTAATTGTCTGACTTAAAGAAAGTATCTTAGTTTGACTCTACGTCCTTATTTCCTTATCTTGAATAAAATAAGATAATAATAAAAATACCTATTTTGTTCTAAGGATTAAATGATAAAATACACATGAATTGCCTAATACAATAACTGGCATATTTTAAATACTCAATGTATGTTAGCCAAAACAATAATTATCATTGTTACTGCAATCTAGCTTGGGAAGTAAGATTTACAATCACAATGTGTCAAATACCAATTTAAGATAATAATAGATTAAATTATTAATTATTACTATGTATTGAGAATGCTGTAGGAAACAAGCCTTCTCTGATCATGCTATTATATACAGTGTACATGTGCACACCCCCTCAGCAAACTGTTTGTTGCCTTCCTTGCACTTATCACAGTCTTTAATTTTTGTTGCTAGTTTCTTATCTGTCTTCCCCACTATATTATAAGCCCTTTTTATAGTGGGGCCATATTTCTCTTATTCATTCTTTGCATCTCCAGCACCTGCTATAGTGCCTGAAAAAGAGTAGACACTCAATAAATATTTGTTGAATACGTGAATTAGACAAGGGGGAAATTACTGTTGGCCAGCATGATCAGAGCAACGTTCTGGAGAAGATACACTTTAAATAGGTCTTGAAAAATGAACAAGATTTGTATGGACAGAAAGAGGCAACAATACATTTTTGAGTTGAGATTGAAGGAAGAATGATGTGTTCATAGATATGAAATAAGGGCCGGGCATGGTGGCTCACGCCTGTAATCCCAACACTTTGGGAGGCCAAGGCAGGCAGATCACTTGAGGCCAGGAGTTCAAGACCAGCCTGGTCAACATGGTGAAACCCTGTCTCCACTAAAAATACAAAAATCAGCCAGGCATTGTGGCACATGCCTGTAGTCCCAGCTATTCTGGAGGCTGAGACAGGAGAATTGCTTGAACCTTGGAGGCAGAGGTTGCAGTGAGTCCAGATCGTGCCACTGCACTCTGGCCTAGGTGACAGACAGAGACCCCATCTGAAAAAAAAAAAAAAAGATATGAAATAACTAAAACACAATAAGTAGACATGAAGAGTAAGAATCATTGAATTTCAGAAGAAAAGAGTTCATTGGCATAAATGGACTTTGGATACCTCTTCAGCATACGGATGAGAAGAATAAGACACAGAGAGCGACATAATCAGTATTACAATCCATATCTTTTCATGTAACTATCCAAGCATTTAAATACTATATCATGTAAGTAATAGAGCTTACAATATAATAGGGGAGACTAGAACCCGTGACTTTAGGCTGTTGGTTCCATGAAGTAAGAAATAGATGGGGAGGTAACTATGAGCACGGAGTCTAATTAGGAAACAATTGTGACAGTCCAAATCAAAAATGATTAGGGAAACAAGATATAAAGCAAGAGGAATCTTGTATTATAGTTCACTATGCTCTTTTAGATTGGATATGAATATTTATGGTTACAGTAAATATGAGACTCTGTTACACTCTAACTGAAAGTCTTTTATATTACGCTTGGATGATACATAAATGTAAAAAACAAAGTGTACTTTATTTTTAGAGATTCTTTATGAAAATGCAAACAGGTTCCATAAAACCTAGAGGTAATCAAAAACTTATCTGGGACACTTTTGAAAATGAAGACACTGTGTGTACCATGTGGTAGTGTTAAGTGCCCTTATAACAAATCATTCACAGAAGAGCCATAGACAAATAAACGTTTCAAAAGTGGTCTGACGGCTTCTGACAGCAGTATAAAGCCATCTTTCAGAGCCAGTAATTCAGTCAGACCCATCTGAATCATTTCCTCTATAAATTGTCTTTAGTAGAAATACAAGAAAAAGCACCAGTGAACTAATAATTATCTCCTCTTTGTCATCAGAGTGGCCTAGGTTAAGAAAATGCCACCTTAAAACTAATTTAATCTTTTAAAATTTACCTGAAATTATTCTGTTATATTTTTGGTAAAATATAGCACATTCGAATATTATATATTTTTCTTTTATGTGTATAGATTTAGAAAGCTTATGATGATAAAGATAAATATGTACCTCTGCATTATTTTAGACTACAATTTTCAAATATTTTGACCAAACTAACCAAATTAGTCATTTATTTAATAAACTATTAATAGTAGTAGGTACAGCCTTAGTCTTTTTATTATTTTCCTTCCTTTCACTTTATTTAAAAAAATTACCTAATGAATTAAATCATAAACCTGCAAATTATCAACTGGCCCATACTACAATGCCATATTAATGATGCAGCTGATGAAAATAAGTATCAATAACCTAAAGATGCATAGTGCTAGAGACAAAGGTGGCATTTTACATTTTTATTAACACTTGTAATTTTCTTCTGCTTGATTTCTTTTAGGCCAAGCCCAATTTCTTCTAAACCATGGGTCAGTGAGCTCATGTTGATTCTCATATGAATGATGGGCTTGATTTTGCAAAGCTATCACCAACTACCAATACCTAGGTCTAGTTACCATCATTATGAACAACCTAGAATATAACATTACAAATTAGAATGCATTATTTCCTTTAATTTCACTAACTATGGCAATACTAGACACCAACAGAATTGTGTACGTTTGTGAAGCATTATATTTTTAAATGTTATTAGTGTGGAAGTAATGAAATCACATAAAATTCAATGATAATACTCTGTTTTAAGCATATGTTATCTTTCCTTGTTAAATATCATTGAAATAAAAAAGAACCTGTGTGAACTTAAATATTCTTAATAAGGCAAAGTTTTGTATTTAGTAAATGATCTCTTGTAACCAGAGGTAAGTTTGAGAGCAACCAGGTTTCACCAGGTAATACATATCTGCAATAGTAGCTTTTCTACATCCCCCAAAATGAAAACAATATTATATTAATAAATCCTAAGAGGCTTCTATTAGCTTGATAAATAAGTACATTTAAAATACAAGGTAAAAAGGATTTGTTTAAATACTTTAAATGTCTTTATCATACTATTCTAGTGATGTCAAATACAATTTTCATTTTTAAGAGATTTTGGTTAGAATTTAATCTTTGAAAATATTAATAACAGCTTACAGCAGGTAAGCTATAAAATAGCACTGGATGCTGTCTATTTAGTTTCTGGTTGAAAAAGCACAGCAGTACTTTAGTTCATTACCTTTGAAAAAAACAGTAACAAGATAATACAGCTGCCTCTGATTAAGATGTAAATTCTTTCTAATTAGAATGTAAATTCTTACATTTAAATGAAGACATCAATTGTCAGGATGCCATATGATATCTTATTCCACCTTGCCTGAATGAAGCCCTCACTGCTCATCTATGCCACTAAAATAGTTTTGCAATCCCTTTGTTCTCTGATTCTTGTAATATTCTCTCTTCATGTTCCCTTTTCACATTGCTTTTGTTTGTTTTCCCCCTTGCATCTGATATTGTTGTGCCTTGGGATTTTGCGGAAATTTGGACTGAAAATTGAGTTCAGTCAGTGCCAGTATTTGCTTGTGCCTCAATTACTTCTGCTGAATTTTCCTCAATGCAAATCAGGCAGGTTGCATAAAGTGGTGCATGTATTTGAAATAATCAATTTTCCGTAAAATGATGGATCAAGTCCAATCAACCTTCATGAAATCTAAATAATAGAATAGAGAATTAGAAATTAATTAACATTTTGTGTTGTTAATACTTTATGGTATAATCTAGCAATGGTAAGTTTTACTGTTGATTCTAACTTTTCCTTTATCAAATGTTGATGAAAACCTTCTGCCTCAATCATTTCTTGCCAGAAATATGCTAACAAGGAATTCTGTATCAATAACATTGAAGCAAATATTTCAAAGTATAATGATTATACAAACAATTGACCAGTAAGTTAAATTATTTGTGCTTCTCTTTACTGAGCAATGGTAAAAGTTTTATCTTGCATAATATACTCTAATTTATAGAAATCTACTATTAATGTTGGATAAGGCCATGACCCTTTGAGCATCATATTATTATATATTTATGCCATGTTTCCTCAACCAAAAGAGCTGTAACTTTAGAGGTAAACTCAATTCCACCAACCTTACAGTGTTAGGCAAGGAGAAACCTAGACACTGAAAGAAAGCTTTACAGATGGAAGAGTATCTACCCAAGTTAGTTGTATTTATTTTTAACTATTATAGAAAATTTCAAACATACACAAAAGTAGAGAATAATATAATAAACCCCTGTGGACCTATCAACCTTCTTCTCTCCTCAAGGGGAGGTAACAGGGAAACTAAACATACAAACCTGCAATATAATGATTGGAATGCAAATAACAAACAATAATGTGCAATAGAAGCTAAAATGTAGTTAGAGAATAGGAATGCTATATAAGTGCTTAGAGAAGGACAGTTTGTGCTGAATGGACAGAGAAGAGAAAGAATGCCAAGTAGAGTAGAAATATTATAAGAGATTTAGGGGTGACCAGTGTCTGTGATGGTATAGAAAAGACCAGCACTGTATGATTAATCATAAGTTTCATTTTGGATGTAAAACTGCTTAAGTCTGGTAAGATGTAGGGATTTCAGAGCCAGGCAATACATTTTAGTAACAGTTAGCCAAGGTAGTATTTTAGGCATGATAATAATAGAATGAAAAATACCTTCTTTTTGTCCAAACAAAAATCTCTTGTTGTAATTAAATTATTTCCTTAGAATTTTTTTATCATGTTCACAAACAGAAGGACATTCTAGTGACTAAAATATAAATTGTAAAGAAAAATTTTTTATTTCTAACCCACCTAGTTAAAAGTAAATGTTAGTAATGACTCTGCAGTGATGTTTACTATATTTCATTTTACTTCTTCCAGTACAATCAAGAGAAATATCACTGTTGACTCATATTGTTACTTAACAGTTGTTTAAAACCATATTTGTTTTTACACAATTCCAAATTTGTGGAATTTACATGCTGTACCAGTTTTCTATTGCTGCTATGAAAAATTGCTATAATTTTAGTGGGTTGAACAATACAAATTTATTTTCCTACGGTTCTGGCAGGCAGAGGTCCAAAAAGGGGTCAGCACAGCTACGTTCCTCCTGGATGGTCCAAGGAAGAAGCTATTTCCTTGCCTTTTCCAGCTTCTAGAGGTTGCCTGCATTCCTTGGCTCATGGCTTCTTCCTCCGTTTTCAAAGCGAGCAACATTGGGTTTGAGTCCTTATGTTACCAACTCTCTGGTTTTTTTTCTGCCTCTCTCCTTCACTTTTAAGGATCCTTGTAATTACATTGGACCCACTTAAATAAACCAAGATCTTCCTATTTTAAGGTCGACCAATCAGCAACCTTAATTCAATCTTTCACCTTAATTCCTCTTTGCCATGTAAGGTAACACATTACAGGTTCCAAAGACTGTGGTATGGACATTTTTTGAGGACTGTTATTCTGCCTACCACACATTTCTTTCATTTTTACTCATCAGTAACCACTATGATAGTTCATAGAGACGGAAGAACCACTTCGTTGGCTCAGATGGCAACTCTTTCTCAGATTTAAAATAAACTAATATTTCTCATTTTAGCTGAATTTGAGAAAAAGAAGAGAAATTAGACTAAATGCTGTAAATTAAAATTGTACAACCAAATGTAATCAGTTTTATAAAAAATGCTTAATAAAATTAGTCTTTGTGGACATGGCCAAAAAAACTGTATTTCAAAGAAGGGAATAAGAAGCCAGAATTAGTTGATTACTTTCTATGTGGCGGACACTATAATAAATATATTAAGATATTATTACCTTTTAATATTTAAACACTCCTATTATTAGCTGTATTTTCCTTTTAAAGATAAGAAGCTGAAGATGGAAAAATGTAGGTAGCTTCCCAAAAGACATGCACACAGTTACTGAGAGATTCCAATGTGTTCATGTTACAGCACGCTAAATTGTGTGAAATGTCAGTTGTATCAATCAAGAAACAATTTCTAAATATTAAGATCAGGCATTCAAAGTATTGTGGAACCAACAAGCAAGTATGAGACATAATCCCTGCCTTCAAGGAATTTGTAATCTAGTTGTAGAAATAAGGCTAAACACATAGCATAAGTGTTTTAAAGCATGAATTCTGGTGTCAGACAGCTTTAGGTTAGAATCCTTGCTCTTTTACTGCTTAATCTTTTGCTACTTATATGTGAGCCTAGGTTTCCTTTCCTGCCTCATTGGGTTGTTACAAAGAGTAACTATACATTAAGTCACTTAGCCTAGGATCTGACACAGAGCAAGCACTCAATAGACGGTAACTGCTTTACTAAAATAAAATTCAAACAGTACAAGGGCTGAGTTAATGATTACACAGTTAAGGGATATAGGAGTTTAGCAGAAGAAGAGCTAACTGTCAAACCAGTGATTTCATGTAATGTTAGAGATATGTATTAGTACAAGGAGGTTTGTTTGTTTGTTTGTTTTTGAGACAGGGCCTCGCTGTGTCACCCAGGCTAGAGTGCAGTGGCATGATCGTAGCTCACTGCAGCCTCAAATTCCTGGGTTGTAAACCATCCTCCTGCCTCAGCCTCCCGAGTAGCTAGGACTACGGGCACACACCACCACATCCAGCTAATTTATTTATTTGGTAGAGACAAGATTTTGTTATGTTGCCCAGGATGGTGTCAAACTCCTAGCCTCAAACCATTCCCCTGTCTCAGCCTCCCAAAGTGCCGGGATTGCAGGCACAAGCCACCGTGCTCTGCCTAGTTCTTTATTTATGAGGATAATGAGTAGCAGTATAGTGTAGTGGTTAAGTGCACTGGCTCTGGAAAAGAATATCTGCTTTTACATTCTGTCTCTTTACTAATTTGTCTATGCCTCAGTTTTCTCATTTGTAAAATGGGGATAAATATAGTTTCTATATCATGGGGCTGATAAGATTAATATGCAAAGTGCTTAGAAGAGTATCTGGCACATAAATGCCATATAAGTGTTATTATTAATATCAAGGAATACTGTGTGTAGCCCATCAGTGATCCATTGTAGTTGACAGTGATAGTAAGAAATAATACATGTAGTTTCAGTTTCCCATTGCAATATAGATGATTTACGTAGCTGGACAACCTTACCAATAGGATAAGCATTATACAAAGATATATCAAGTACCTGCAATGTACCTAGCAGTATGCTTTGGATGATACAAAATAACAAACATTCTCAATTTCTATAAACCTCCCTGTCTAGATGAGAAGACAAAACTGATAGTGAATGAAATAGAGATTAATTAAGTGCTAAAATTAAGGTAAATTGATGCCAAGTGCAGTAAGAATTCAGAGAAAAGAGAAATCTTTATGGATCATATTATACATTACTAGAAAAAGTAGGACTTGAACTAGGACTAGAATAATGGATGAGATTCTATTGACCAGTGAGAAGATAATGAACAGTTCTAAATATAAGAAATTGCTCAAACCAGGAGTCTCATGCATCTTTTATTCTAAACTTTCCCCCCAACTTGTTAATTTGGCAGCAGGAAAAAAAAATGAATGAGATGGCCACAAATGCCGTAAACCTGAGGAATCATAGATAAATGAAGGAATTGAAGGGATTTAAGAACAAGGAGTCTGTGGATAGAATTTGGGAGTTCCAGGAACTTGGATTGAAAAGAAATGTACATGTTTATTTTTACTAGCCTCCCACTGAAACGTAGCATTTTCTTAGTTATAAATATAGGCAACAAACCGCAGTCACATTAGCAGTAACTGTGACTGTCGTCAACAGAAATCATAGACTTTTTCATGCATTTATTGCTGTCTCAAAGTATTACTTACCTCATTTGTAATATATTAGTATCAGGCCCATGGCTATTCTTGTTATTCAATGGTTAATAAAAATGTGCAGATAGATGGTTATATAAAAATTTATGGCCAGGCACAATGGCTCACGCCTGTAATCCCAGCACTTTGGGAGGCTGAAGTGGGCGGATCACAAGGTCAGGAGTTCAGGACCAGCCTGACCAATACAGTAAAACCTCATCTCTACTAAAAATACAAAAATTAGCTGGGTGTGGTGGCACACGCCTGTAGTCTCAGCTACTCGGGAGGCTGAGGCAAAAGAATCGCTTGAACCCAGGAGGCGGTGGTTGCAATGAGCCGAGATTGCGCCACTGCACTCCAACCTGGGAGACAGAGTGACACTGTGTCTCAAAAAAAAAAAAAAGAATTTATTATTTGATAACATTTCAGTGAAGTTTATTTCCTTTGTAATTTAGTGTATTTTATTTTATACATTTAAAATCATTATAGTGAAAAAATGACATCATCATAGTGCTTCTGTTTATGGACCTGGGAATATATTAGTTTTTTGATAACCGCATCCATAGTTGACTCATATTGAGTTTACAATCAACTACACCCCACCCTTTCTTTAATGGACCCGGGGTCTCACTATGTTGCACAGGCTGGTCTCAAACTCCTCAACTCAAGAGATCCACCTGCCTCAGCCTCCCAAAGTGCTGGGATTACAGACCTGAGCCACTGAGCCCAGCTCCTAAAACTCTCTTTTCATATGTGCTACTTTAGGCTATGTTTATTTCTGAATATAGGCAAATAGCATTACAATCAAACCAGTAGCTAGAACTCACAAACATGAAATTCTTAGAGCAGTACTTTATAAAATTTCTGCCTACCTAAATGTAGACCTTAATATTAACCATCTGAGGTGATATCTTGCAAGATATTTTCTATATGCAGATATACCTGCCCAAGAAAAATTATATTTCTTTTTAAAACAGTGGTGCTTTCTGGTTTGCTTTGCAGAATGAGGAGTAAAAAAGGGCTATTCTGGTGATTATTGCTGTGTATTAAACTACCGCAAAACATAGTTATGGAAAACACTCATTACATTCAAGGCTTTTGTGGGTCAGGAACTTGTATAGGGAACAGCAGGCATGCTTGTTGGATGCACTATTCCATGGTACCTAGGTACTCAGTTGGAAAAATTTGATGGCTACAGTTTGGAATCAACTAGGAGTGTCTTCACTGACCTATGTAATGGTTGATGCTGACTGTCCACTGGGACCTCAACTGGAGCTGTCTTCCGGAGCACCTGTGTGTAGCCTTTGCATGTGACCTGGACTTCCTCACACATGGTGGTCACTTCTTACATGATGGTCAAACTGCTTAGATGGCAGCTTAGGCTCCAAAAGCTAGTGTCATAGTAAACAAGATGCATTGCCTTTAATGACTCATCTCAAAACTGACAAAGCTATCACATCTGCCGTACTTTATGGATTAGAACAATAACAAGTTCACTCAGATTCAAGGGGAGAAAAATTAAGCCCTGACACTTAATTGTGGAGGAGCAAGGTCACAGTGTACAAGAGTATATGCAATGGGTGATGCTGTACAGTTATATTTGGAAAGTACAGCCTGGGCACAGTGGCTCACACCTGTAATCCTAGTACTTTGGGAGAGCAAGGTGGGAGGATCACTTGAGCCCAGGAGTTTGAGACCAGCCTGGGCAACATATTGGGACCTCGTCTCTACGCATAATTTAAAAATTAGCCAGGTGTGGTGGTGTGTGCCTGTGGTCTCAGCTACTCTGAGAGGCTGAGGGGAGGATCTCTTGAGCCCGAGAGGTTGAGACTGCAGTGAGGCATGTTGCACCACTGCAATACTCCAGCCTGGGTGACAGAGCAAGACCCTGAAAAAGAAAAAAAAAAAAGAAAGAAAAGAAAATCTGTACCTGTAAATAGGCATAAAACTGTGGTAGTTTGAAGTATGTGGATGCATGGCATACAGTGGCAGAGTTTTTGTGGAATGGTTATAGATGAAACATCATTTGTCTTAATGGCTCAGATTTGAAGTTGAGGTTTATAATTATGTTTTTATAATTCTAATAATGAAATTTCTCATTTTATTAGGATTGGAGGAAGAGTCTGTGGTCTTTTCCAAACTTGAAGATTTGATTTTTTCCAAAACTTGTAGCTTTGTGTTTATCAGCAGATCTGAAAGCCACAAGTATTATCTGATACATACAATAATGACAGAAGAAAAAAATGTTCTATGTTTTCTTCACTAAAAGTTTTTATGTAAAAAAGAAATATAGGGCGAATTATACAGCATAAGAATTATATCTCATTAAACCTATTTTTTAAAAACAACCATAAACAAATACTGACTTTTCGCTAATGATATGCATGCTGGAGTGGTTAGGGGTAAAATATACTGATGTCTGCAACTTTCTTTGAAATTCACCACAAATTAGAGAGACTGGTGAATGTGGATAGATCTTTAGAGAGGTGAAAAAGCAAGTGTAGAGAACGGTTACTTGTACAACCTAAGTGATGTGTAAATGCATATTCTCTTATATCTGAAATTTTTCACAATAAAATATTGGGAACAATCATAATGAGACACCACTACATAATCACTGGAATGGCCTTTTGTAAAAAAGCTTTGTTTTTTTTCAAGTGTTTTTTGTGTTAAAAGCTCTGACATAGTTTTGGTGAAGTGAAGTTATATTGACTACTTCATCATCTATTTTTATTCAAGCAGAAGGGAAGAGTTAGGCACAGATTCTCACCACAGTTCTGTGACTGCAGAAACCTTTAAGATAAATAATTGTAATTAACACAGCCTTGGCACTGGCAAAACAAAAACTCGGAACTTAATATGTAAACAATATGATCTCCATTTCAAATGCTGTTTGTCCTCCTAAAATCTTACACCTCTTTTTTCTTTCTAGGCAATTACTTTTTTTTTACTTTCCTTTGACCTCGACAATATGTTCCCTGTTTACATTATTCATGGAATCATGAAGGGTCACTATTGTCTGCCCAGTCCCAAGATAGTTTGGCACTTTTTCAAATTGTTTTGCTTGAATTGTAGTGAAGTGGTAACCCGCTGATGCAGGCATGCACTTCAGCACCCTTGTGCTATAGTAAGGCCAAAAAAAAAATAGATTAAAGGAATTAAAGTCTCTTTCAGTGCTTAGCAAAGGAGTAGTTGGTAAGGCATAGTAAAACTTTACAACTTTTTAAGTTTTCTGATAGAATTTGAACTCACTGAAACTTACACGTTAACTGAGAGGAGTACTAAGTAATCAATTGAGGTTATTCCAACCAAACATTTAAAATATCCTTATTAAGTGTCCACCAGTGAGTGGTACTAAGTGTGACATACTGTGCACAATCCTTGCTCTCAAGAAACATGAACAGCATAGCTAGGAAGAAAAGTTGGAGAGGACACCAGGGCATAAGCAGATTCGCACTGCAAGATAAAGCAAAAAGAAGATAAGTGCCAAGTACCAGATGGAATGAAATCATGTTCCTTTTGCTCTCTTGCCCAGCCTAAGAAGACAGGCCAGGGGAGTTTGTGATCATGGTACAGAAATGGAGGCTATTGCTCAATTTGCTCACTCTGCCCCATCGGTCAAAATTGCTATTCAAAATGTGCCTTACTCCCTATTTTGTATTTAGAGTCTTGGATTCTTATTTGAAACTTGGCAGCTTTGGAAGCTGTCTTATATTTTGTTCTGCTTTAAGACTTTCACTGCCAAGTACATATTCAGGCTTTGTTTGCCAGTTTTTTTGATTGTGTGGTTGAATGCCATCCCTGGAAAGATGTACTTTTGAGCTAGTATGAAGTCAATGAGCTGCCTTCAGCATTCATGAAGAGGTTCTGAAGTTTCTGTTTCAAGGCTTTTGACATGTCAGCGTGTGTAAATCTAGTCTGATGCCAAGATGCCTTATGCCAATGGGTTCCTTTTGATTTTGGTATGCATGATTTTCCTTGTGCATATTAACCTGTTGCCATTAAAAGAAACAGAAAATTATAAGATCATGTAATATAACATAGGTTCTAGCCACAAATAACATTAGTACTGTATCACAACACTAGTGGATTTTGGTTTGTTAGAATTTTTAACTGTCTTGGCTTTTTTTTTTAATATCCTTTCTAAAACTGTGTATTCAACTCCTGATTTTTCATTCAACCCATGATGATGCTTCCTGACTGCTCAGCTGGAATCTGGATTTGCCTTCTTTCATTCAGCACACTTCTGAAGCAGTGGCAGGTCTTGTGGGGAATTTTGGGGGTAGCAGATTCAAATTTGGCAGGACCCTGGGGACATTAATCAATTGGAAAATATCAATGAGCAAATCATTTCTCAGATAAAATGGTTCAATTAAAAATGATATTGAACTGAAAAAAACAAAACGTTACCAAACTAAAAATGTGTACAATTCATAGGCTCCACGATACGTTTATTTTGTTTCTATGTACTTTTTAGGCTTGATCTTACCATCTTTATAATTTAAATAATTGGCAATAACTTATAACTTGTTGTAATGATAATGAGTTCACCTTTACTACTTACTCCCTGACCGATGTTGTGGCCCTCTCCAGTGCCTTCCTCGCTTTTATTATGTACCCACAGCAGCCTAATACACAGCCCTGTGGCCAGCAGCTTCCACAATATTTGTTGTGGAAAATACTGATTGATATTTTGGGTGAAAAATTGTAACTTAATGGTACTTTATATCATTATTAAACATACATAATATTTCAAATATTAAATAATTGCAATGTTCCTCAGATAAAAACACGTCTATCCAACCTGGCCATTGGAAGTAAGAGAAAACTTCCCACAGAAAACTCTTAATATATTATTTTTGTTGCTGTTGTTGTCTGTTTCCAATGTTTATTCTTTTGTCCAAAACACAAATGATTAAGACTTGAGAATTCAGGAAGGAGGAGTCAGTACTTAATTTCCACTATGTGGAATAAAGAGAATGATAATCTTGGAAATATTGAGCTAGTATGAGTTTTTTAAATTAGTTATACATTTTAAAATTTACATATGATGCTTACAATTGACATTGTCTATATTCAGATAGTTTAATAATCAATCATCTGTGACTTCTCAGTGAAAATGCCTAGTAAAAGTTGTAAAACCCTTCTGTGGAAGAAAGTAAGCCTTGCAGACAGAATGACTACATAGTTTTCAGGGCCCAGTGAAAATGAAAATGTGGGTCCTGTGGTTCAAAAAACCAGAAAACTTGCCATTAAAAATACTAAAACATGAACTTTTTCCCTTTCTCCCAAGGTGTCTCTTCTCTCTCTCTCTCTCTCTCTCTCTCTCTCTGTCTCTCTCTTTCTCTCTCTCTCTCTCTCTTTCTCTCTCCCCCTTTCTCTACCTGTATTGCTGTATTTATTTGCTAATTAAGGTCATGCTCCTTCAGGCACAGGGATACTCAGCACAGACTTCACAGGACCCTGTGGGTCTCACCCCACAACTTGGGACACAAGCAGCCCATTAGGTATCAGGTTTTTGCTCTTGCCAGCCACTGAGCTGACGGGCTGTGGTCACCAGAAGTGGGGAAGTCGAGCCAGGCATCACCCTCCCACAGGCCCGCTGCCCCAGCCCTCTCTGGATGGCTTTTGCAGCCTCCATGCTGGAATGTGGTAGGTACCTGGATGAGAGGTGGCAAGAAGCTTACCCCTGCCCAGTCACCCACCAAAGTCCTGAGGCACTGCCAGTTTAGGGCAGGACAACTGTCTCCATGTCCCATCTCAAGATGCCATGGGTCAACCCTAATCCTTTTTACACCCTCATCTAGGCCCTGAATGAGGCAGAAAGCAATAGCAGTCACTAGTCACTAAGGAAGGAGAAAGGAGGCTGGGAATCCTGTGAGGGCTGAAGCCCCAGCATATGGCAGAGCAGGTATGGACTACCCATCCTAGAGGCCAGGGGACAGGGACTGCATAGTAACCAACACCACCCCCGCCCCCCGCCACCCACTCCCCCAGGTCCACACATACTTCATTGTTCCCACAAACTTCACTTACAAAACATAAATTCAATAATGAAATCATTAGGAATTTCATGACAGCAAACACAGAACATTAAACCCCAAACACAGGACCCTTCGAAGCACAGTTTTCTGTGTGATGCCAAAGAAGCTGGACCCACCTGCTGGATAGACCCAATCTACCTACAATAAAATAATGGCTAATATGTATTATGCCAGACATTGTTCTAAGCACTTTACATGTATTAACTCATTAATCCTCAAAGACCTTAATGTATATGCCATCATTATCCCCATTTTACAGCTGAAGTAACTGATACCCAAGATCACTGTGTGGTAAAGCGCACATGGAGGATTCAAACCCTGACAGTCCGCCTCCAAAAGATTCTTATAGGAGAACTGAAAAAGGAGCAAATAACTTATTTATGCACTGAAAAAGCAGATCATATTTATAAACACTGTACAGTGTTCGAGGCTTTGTCTTAAAGCAAATTTCTAGAAGATAAAATCCTAATTGGTTGCAGGTACCTTGAGTGAATAGGCTGTCTCCTTCATCTAGTTAGAACACTAAATGCAACTATCAAATAAATAGGGTTGTCTATGTGAAAGGCCTGGAGATATTAAATGTAAAGCAAAGGGGATTTATGGATACTTCAAAAATTGCGACATTTTAAAACTTTCTATAGATGGCTGCTCTAACCCTCACCTCTACCCCCACATTGCCCAGCCCGAGGTTATGTAGCTAATTAATGACAGAACTGGGTTTCCCATCAGTTTGTCCTGGTCAAGGAAGTGGAAAGGAAGTTACCAGGCCCCTCTTATATTGTTAGTGCATGCTTAGGCCCCTCTAGAAGACTGGACTGGGAAGAGGAAGGATGTGGGAAGAAAGGGCGTGTCAACCAACATCTTACTGCTGGCTTTATTTTCTTCTTGTCTCCCTGATCAAAGATGATTTCATGTTTCTTTATATAAAAACTAACATTGACTGCAACCTTTTCATTTTAATCATAGTTGTAATTATGAAATCACTGTTTTAATTGAAATGCTGTTATAAAATATTAACTAATTATAATGGAGGCATTGCTGGACCAACTTGTCTAAAGCCATGTCTCCAAAATAGAAGAATTTAAAGATAATAAGCCGTGTAATTCCTTGACTCCAGTGCCTTCAAATCACCAACAAGACAGATCCTAATAATTCTCATTAACTTTATTTGTGGATTTGCAAGTGACCAGGCCAGAGGCCATGACTTACTTCTTCCACAGTCTTTCTTTCACTCCAGAGTGTAGGATGTCACCATACAAAAGCATGAAATAAGAGCCATGGCCAACATGTTTTACCAGTTTATTGAGGCATCTCAACTCAGGAAACATACACATTAAACAGTTTGATTTGTTCTTATTGTGGCTTTCAAGTGTGCTTTGTAAAATCTTTTCCTGTCCCTTACATATATCTTTGTGTTATTCTGCAGCTTTGGGGTCACTTGTTTATTAAAATTCAGTGTTGTTTAAAATTTTAATCTCAAATATAGTTTAAAATCTCCTCTGCTTTTTTCCCAATGCAGACTTCAATGAGGATCCTCACTATTTGAGATGTTGAAGGAATTAGAGAGCAAAATCTGGTTCAAAGATTGTGGTTCTCCCTCCTCTTTGCAAGACCTGGTTCCTCCAATTCGTTGGGCCAGGGGAAAAAGAGTGGGAATAGGCATATGTTTCTTTACACAGCTGCCCTCTCAAGAGTCTGCTGTTCATTATGACTGCTTCTCTGACTACCTCTGAGGCAGGAATCCAAATGCTGGCCTTTTCACGGGCTAGATGTTTGAGTTTTTCAGAGGCCCTGTGATGCATCCACATCATACTTTCTGATGTCAGGGTACAGCAATTGTTACATCTCCTCTCCTGCCCACAGTGGTGTGCCTCACCAGCCTCTTGCTGATGGATTCCCCTTGCCAGGCAGGTCATCATCTTGGGTAGAACACCAGCAGACTGAACTCAGCAAGTGAAACTCATCCTGCTTGTCCCACAGGAATTTCCTACATCCTTGCCAGGCCAGACCATGGTCATGCAAGCTGCTCCACCACCACCCCTTCTCTCTGCCCTGCCATTTCTCTCTAGTTCTCCCTGCCTTGCTTGACAGGAACAGGGACAGATAAGCACATTCTCTGCCTAGACTGATGTTCACTGGGGAATGGAGTGCCAATCTTTTCATCTTGCAAGCTTGGCCAGACTTTGAGTTTGTCTCTTGGAGCCCCACCCAGCACTTTTGAAACCAGCTTCACAAAATAAAATCTTTTCACCACAAGCACTGTATTTCCCACACAGACAAGTTACCTCATAACTCTTGCCATTCCTTCCCGAAACTTCTTAAGTTGGAGCCATGGCTGTGGTAGTGGGTATACCTCTTCCACCCTTAGAGGGTATCTGGGTCCAATTGCTGAAGCCTCACTTTGGGCATTGCTTAGTCTCTATTGTTGCCAGGGATGGGTCCATCCTGTAAGCAACTACTCCCCATGCCGTTATATTTATATGCTGATAGAAGGAGTAATTTTTGATGCAGCGTCAAGTTCTTGAGAAATTCTTGACACACAGTAAAAAAATTTTTTACATATCGGTTTCCTTACCTTTTCAGAAAAGGCTAAGATTCTAAGAATGCTTAACAAAGGAGGGTGGTATATCAGATAGACTTTGGCAAAATGAATAGGATTGAGGAAAGATAATCTCAGAGGAGAATGTAAACAGAGGTTGAGATCTGGAAAATTGAGGAACAGATTTGGGGAAAGTGAGTAAGCTTTTTTTCTAATGAAAATACAGGATATAAGATCAGAAAAGCAGGCTGGGAACATCAGATCAAGGGGTTATCAAGGACAGAATTGAAGACTATAAACATGAGTACAGTAGAAAGGCTTTTCAGCAGAGTGACCTGTGGGAAATGGAAATTTGGGGAAGTTCACTGTTAGACAAGGTACAGAAGAGGGTGGAGGAAAGGAGACCAGGGAACTGGTATTATAGCAATTTAAAAAGGAAGAAATAAAGGGGCAAGGATACAGGGGAACACATGAAAAGGGAGACTGTAAGCAATATTGGGATCATTTGTGATTTTTGGTAACTAATCTTACAGGAGAGGATATGCCAGCATGTTCCAAATGCCTGCTGTGTAACGCTAATTCTATCAGATGCTACAAATCAACAAAAAATTCTCTGGTCAAATATGCTGAGGAAACTCAGCATAATGTGGTCTCTACTTAAAATTTGTAAAGTAACATAGAAATCCTAATGAAGGGGCAGTGGCCAAAAAGAAAAAAAA